>NC_000001.11:207881556-208033071 GCF_000001405.40 Homo sapiens | reverse complement strand
AAAAAAAAAAAAGAGGACAAAATTGGAAAAAAAAAAAGAGAGAGAGAGAGATAGTCCAGTTCCCTGGGCAGGGCTTCCAAAGGATCAGGCCACCGCTGTTCTCTACCCTTTGGCAAAAATAGCAAATATATCTTTGCTTTCTGCGTACTTCTTGAGACTACTGTTTCACTTCAGAGGAGTAACTCTCTCCCTCTGGACCCCTTAAGCTTTAGGAAGGCAGTGGGGTTTCTTGCTGATATTAGTTGGATAGATATGCTGGCCTTTCTATCCCCTTTCTGGCCACAATGGGAGGGAAAGCACAGAGGCCTGGCCCTGCCAGTAATCCAAGGGGAGGCTTCCTCTTCCCATCCCATCCCACCCCAGCTACCCCCAAATGTTGATGGAAGTGAGGCTTCATCTTTTAGCCTTCCTAGCAGGTAGCAAAATAAGCCTGTAAGTATGACAATCAAAGAGCCAATGTTTTCCACGCAGGGCTAGATTTCAAATATTCTCCCCGATGGACCCTCCAA
The DNA here is from genome assembly GCF_000001405.40 of Homo sapiens. Classification (NCBI taxonomy): domain Eukaryota; kingdom Metazoa; phylum Chordata; class Mammalia; order Primates; family Hominidae; genus Homo; species Homo sapiens. Next base: position 208,032,562 of record NC_000001.11, on the reverse strand, counting down.
CAATGGCACTGAAGTTTTAATACAGTGGCATCCAACTTACAGCTCTCACACTTGCTCCCAGAGTGGCCCAGAAATATTCCACGAGACCCCATGTCTCCATTTTAGCTTTGCCTAATATGCTCAGCATAACAACAAGAGACCAACAAAGAGATAACAGAAAAAGCTAGAGGTTTCTGCTGACCCTCAGAGGTGTGCCATGAGCCTGTAAACTGTGGGAGCCAGGCCCAGTCTTATTCCTGCCCCAGAGACCCTCCAAAGCCCTGTGGATCAGCACTCTGCCTGTGGGGAGGTGGTTCTTGAGTCTAGACCCTTCACCCACATTCCACATTCCAGATACCACTTGTCTCAGGTCACTAACATCCTAAGCCTCTTCATACCTTCCTAACAGACTCTCCTGGTCCTGCTGTGCTCCTGCCAGGAGGCACCCAGTCCTCCAGCTTGTTCCTCGGACACTGTTTCCGGACTGGCTTGCAGCCTGTGCCCCCTCATTCACCCATGGGAAGCCCGGACCCGGGGCACTTCCTGTCTTCCTGTCAAAGACCCTGAGCCTACACCCTGTGTGGAATGTGGAATGTGGCTGCAGGTTGGAGGAGAGATTCTTCCCCAGGATTCACAGCCCACCCAGTTTCTCCCACCTCCCCAGCTAACCAATAGTACCCTTCCCCACCCCGCAACACTGCCTGCACAGCCTCGTGTCCCAGACAAATTTCCAAGGCAGGATGGGTCCAAGGCACCATCTGGTATGCCTGTCTGCTACCTGCCGTCACCCCCCTCCATCTTACTCTCCCCCACCCCTCCTCCAGGGCACCCTGCAGAAGTTTGTGGACGACTTGTTTGAGACCTTGTTCAGCACTGTGCACCGGGGCAGCGCTCTCCCCCTGGCCATCAAGTACATGTTTGATTTCCTAGATGAGCAGGCAGACAGGCACAGCATCCATGACACAGATGTGCGGCACACCTGGAAAAGCAACTGGTAAACCCTCGGGGAGCTCAGCAGGAGGTGCAGCCTGGAGAGGCCTGGAGCTAAGAGGGATGAGGACCAGGAGATGGGAGGGTGGGAGGATAGCCTATTCTCGGCTGGGGCTGGGTGATCCAAAGCTCCTGGAACAAACAGTGCACATATGCTCTGCAGAGCCCACACGGTCCCCAGCTGCCTGTGCCAAGTGGGGCCTGCCTGGCTTGAGGCACAGCAATAGGATGCACCCTTGAATTCTGCCCCTCCAGGTTGTGACCAGTACCCCAAGAAGAGCCTCCTCCCCTGGCTCTGAGATCTCTGGTTCTCAGGAGAAGGGAGCTGGGGGAACCTATGCAAAGAGCTGCATTTGAAGCCTGCAGCAGAGCTTCACAGCCAGACATCGTGGGGCATTCTGAGTGGGGCAGTTCTAAGGCACTTCCTGAGATGGGGAATCCCTGAATTAAACTGAGACGCCCGGTGAAGTTGGTCAGCACCGGAGAGGGAGTTCACACCTGCTATAGACTTGAGCCCACTGACAGGGAGGATTTCATTGCAAACTTGATCTCTTAAGGCCAAGTGATTATCCTGGCGCCATAGCTTTCAGGAAGCAGCAGGCAGAATGCCCTGCAGGCATGACTCTCTCCCCTAAAGTCATCTCTGCAACCAGACCAGCAGTGGGAGAAGCCCTCAGGCCCCTGGTATGAGACTTTATCCTCATGGGTTTTGAACCTGGACCACAGACCAAGCTAAGGACTGGCTTTCAGGTCAGACAGGACCCGGCCAAGAGCTGGCATCAAAAGGCTTCCTTTGGGAAAGAGCACAGAGAGGGGAGAGGGGAGGTCCAGGCATTTGGGTTGGGCAGGCAGCCCACGCAGCTGTCTGGAGTTAGCGGTCTCCTCAGAAAACAGAGCCGACACAGATGGGCCCAGGCTGTTATTTGGGAATCAAAAGTCCTAGCAACCAACAAAACACTTTGGAAAAAGCCAACCCCAGCCCCATCTCTTCCTTCCTCCTCCCGGGTCTTGTGGTCGCTGAGCCTTCCTCAGTCTGCAGCTTTGATCACAGTGGAGTGAAACGAACAGGCTGGGGTGGCCCTGGGGTTAAGAGCCCACAGTCCACTTTGCCAGGACAGGCCTTCCATCTGCATTCCCTGGACAGCACATGCCTGTCCCCTTTGCTTTGGAGCATCCCCGGCCCAGCGCTGGGAGAGGGCACTTCAGGGGAAATCAAGAGAAAGTCCAGGGTTATCCGCATCTCTGTGCCTTCTGTGTGCTGGCCAGATCCAAGTAATAGAAATGGACTACCCTGGCATCGTGGTGTGGAGAGAGTTTCCTTAACCAGACCTCAATAGCAAATGTCCAGGGAAAGATTACCAGAAACTACCCAAGGCTGCCAGAAGAAGGGGAGGGTAGAAGAGATGAGTCAGCTCTCAGCTGCAGCAGCTTCTCCCAGGCTAGAGGAAAGTGAGGGATCCTGTTGTGTTTTGGAAGATAGGCAGAAATCATCGTGGAAGGGCTTGAGGCTGGGTAAAGCAGATCTTCCCCAAGACCTGGCACTACTGAGACATTTGGGAAAGTTTGGGGCCCATGAGAGTCAAGAGAAGATGAAGGAGGGGAGAGAAGAAGAAGCTGGGGAGCTGGGAACATCATCTCAGGCTGGAGGACAAGCCTGTGACAGGACCGGTTCCACAGAGGAGTCAAAAGAGTTAAAGCCCAGAAGGCAGCTGGAAGAGAAGGCAAAGCTGGAAAAGGAAGTAAAAGCAGCAGCTGTTCTGATTTTGAAGGAGAGTAAATGGGCTTATTTGCTTTATGGTCTAAGGAGCAGAGAAAACTCATTCTCCTCTGGTTATAAATTCCCGAGTTGCAGAAGGAAGTCTCCTAACTACTGATCGGTTCCTCTTGGGGTGGGAAAATCTCTGAGCTACAGTGAGTCATTCCCAGGATGCCAACAATGGCCTCCACTTCTCCCTCTGCCCCTGCCCAGATACAAGAACGCCCTGGGGAGAGTCATGAAAGAACTTCCCCCAGGGGAGCCCATTCCTCGGCCCAGCCAGGCCAGGCCAGCCCTGGGAAGTAGCTTGGGCAGCCGGGCTGGGCGGGGAGCGCAGGTGGCGCCCTTTGTGCCTGCTCCGAGGCTGAGCCTGGGGCTCCTGGCTGCCTTCTTCCGGACAATGGCCACGGGCACTGTGAAGGGACTCCAGGAGCCTGGTGGCTTTGTGTGAAGCCCTGAGAAAATGTGCTGTCCTCTGTTCTTGGGCTTGCCTAGGGGCACAGAGTCCTTTAGAAAAGTCTCCCAGAAGGGAACAGAACACACCCAGGCCCACCCCTCGGATGTTAGAGATCAGGGTCAGTGCCCCCATTAGGGTACAAAGTGCCTCTCCTTCCATTTCTCCCAGGTCAGTAACAGCTTTGGCTAAATTAACCCTGGCTGGACCCATTTTCTTCCATTTTACTCCTTTGCCCCTTCAGGTGGACAATTTGACCTTTGATGGGGAAGAATATCAGTGGGCAGCAGAAGGGGCACGGCCCGCATGCATTCTCAAGTCTTCTCTGCCTTTCCCCACAGCCTCCCTCTGCGCTTCTGGGTGAACGTGATTAAGAACCCCCAGTTCGTGTTTGACATCCACAAGGGCAGCATCACGGACGCCTGCCTCTCTGTGGTGGCCCAGACCTTCATGGACTCTTGTTCAACGTCAGAGCACCGGCTGGGCAAGGACTCCCCCTCCAACAAGCTGCTCTATGCCAAGGACATCCCCAGCTACAAGAGCTGGGTGGAGAGGTCAGTAGCACCCTCAGGACAGGCCCATGCCCTTGTCTCCCTGCCCATTCCCCGCTCTATAGTCATCACTGACTAAGGACTCAGACGACGGTGTCTGTCATCTCTTCAGGACCTCCCACTCCCCTCCCTGCCACACCCCCTGCTGCGGGAGGAAGGGTGGCTTTGTGCCCGTGGAAGTCAGATGATTATCATCCTAATTACTATTCATTGAGCATGTGCTAAGCATTCAGCATTCTGATAAAGATTTTGTGTGTATCATCTCATTAAAATGTCCAGCAGAGTTGTGAAGCCAGTATTATTATTATCCCCATTTTACTGATAAGGAAACTGAGGTACAGAGAGGGTAAATAACTTGCCCTGCGTCACACAGCTAGCAGGTAGCAGAGCTGGGATTTGAACACAAAGAGCCTGGTGAGAGTCTGGGCTTTTAACCACTCTGTTGGGCACCGCAGCCACGAGCTCTCGGCTAGATGGAATCTACTGAAGAAACTCTGGCCTTCAGCCTCAACCTCAGCATGAAGCAAGAGGCCAGAGGAAGCCACATCAGAAGAGAAATAGGGAGGCAGGAGCAACTGGGTACATCAGTGCCCTCGAAGGACCTGGGCCCGGGGTAGCTATAGGTAAATGTTTGCTGAGGCCTCCACCAAGGCGCCTATCCTGTCTCTGGCAGATACTACGCAGACATCGCCAAGCTCCCAGCCATCAGTGACCAGGACATGAATGCCTACCTCGCCGAGCAGTCCCGCCTGCACGCCGTGGAGTTCAACATGCTGAGTGCCCTCAATGAGATCTACTCCTATGTCAGCAAGTATAGTGAGGAGGTGAGACAGGGCCCCAGCAGGGACAGAAACCAACAGGCAAGGAGCAGGAAGCCTGACTCAGTCCTTAAATAGATGGCAATTTAGAAAACACATTCAGGGAGTCAGAAGCCCATGAGCTCGAAAATTATCATTCCTTTATGAGGCAACTCAACTCCTGATTCACTGAAGGCTTTATACACTTCATTGTCTTTCACTCATTGTTAACACAATAAATAACACTTTTAATCATTTGTTTTTCAGTTCAAAGTATGGTATAATTAATTTCATTCTCTCTTAATGAATCAAACTATTCTTTGCATTCGGGCAGATCCTGTCAGTTACATTTCAGATAGACAGGTGGACCCTAATATGAATAGAGATTGATTAGGATACCTTTGGAAAACTCACAAAGCTTCTTTAGCATTGAACGTGAAAGTAGTAGTAGTAGTAGCAATAATTAACACTTGCATAGCACTTCCTATGCCAGAGAATGTTTGAAACACCATACATACATACATATATATAGGTGTGTGTGCATGTATTCATTCAGTTAATCATTTAAATTATTTAAGGTTATGTGCATGAAGGCAGAATGGAAAGGTAGACAGAGGGCAAAGAGGGAACGACTCCAGAAAATGGTGTCTTCTATTCTGAGTCCTGAAGTCTTCCTGCCTTTGTTTTTGCTCCTCAGCTCATCGGGGCCCTAGAGCAGGATGAGCAGGCACGGCGGCAGCGGCTGGCTTATAAGGTGGAGCAGCTCATTAATGCCATGTCCATTGAGAGCTGAGAGGAGGAGCCTCGCATTCCTGGGAAGAGGGACCTGTCCAAGCTGTCACACTGGGAGTCTCAGATGGAAGGACAAGTGATGGGGATCAGGCCCCAGAGCTTGCTGTCCCCTGAGACCCCATCCTGGGGAGAGGGGAGGACTCCTCTCCCTACGCCAGCCAAGTTTCGTCATAGCCAGTTCCAGCTGGGAGAGACAGTGGGCGTCGTCCATCCTCAGTGAGAACACCAGAGAACCCGGGGCCGGGAGAAGGTGGTTCTTCAAGCCGAGAGGCACGAGCTGGGGACAGTTCTGCCTCTGTGACTGCTGCTTTGCATGAAAACTCATTTGATGTATATTGGGGAAATAATGAGAACTTTATTTAATTTTTTTAAGAAAAAGGGAAAAAAACAGAAATAAAACAAAAAGCCGCCCTGTTAATCCCGTCCAACTTTTGTTTAATTCTGATTTCTGTCTCCCTTCCATCTTTTCTCCCATTCCTCCTTCTTTATATAATGCCTATTTCCAAATGCCAGAGAAAGCAGAGATGCTGAGAGACATTGGAGAGAAAATGACTGTCTCCTTTTCCTTGAAATTAAAAAAAAAAAAAAAAAGAGAAAGAGGAGAAGAAGAATGATGAGCACAAGTATGCACCAAACACTTCGCAAAAACAGAGGCCAGTAAAACCTGGAATTATCCCGGCAGCCAGAGGAGTATGGAACTTCCAGAACTTTGCACAAATTGCAAAGCCATCAAGAGCTCACCCTGGCTGACTGGAAACTGAGCTTTATCTACCACACACCTGTATATTCTCATCTTTTGAGAGGAGATGTGTACCTAGATAGTACCAATGCTTTTTGCTACTGTTTTTTGTTTTGTTTTATTTAATCCTAAACCTCAACAAATGAGGAGCTGGTCTTTGATATGTTTCCTTTCAATTTCCCTAAAGTTACTATGAGAAGTGGGGTGAGGTGGGCCTCTCCCAGACCAGACACCTGGCAGCCCTGCCTCATATCAATCCCTGTCATAAACCAGGCACCCTGGGGAAACGGCCTGGAGGTGTGTGGGCCAGGCCTCCACGAGGTTCCATTTGAAAGTTGATTTGGAGACATAGGTGTTTGACTTTGGAGTTCACTCCAATCATCCAGTGGTCCCTGGCAATTAAAAAGAAAACAAAAATCAAACACTGTTTACAGCAAGCAATACTTGAAGAGCATAGGTTACAGAAGCTGCAGTATTTATTATTATGCTTTCTTTCTTTCATTCTCTCGTGCCTGGAGAGGGGAGACCACCCTTCGCTCATATACGGAAGCTCCTGACCATCTGGGCCTACAGCACTTCCTCAGTAGAAATGACTGTGGCATGCCCACGTTACTACCTTCTGCCTCTCTTTCTGCCTCTCACGGACTTGTGAGTGTGAAGGACAAGTGGATGACTTCTCACTGGACTTTCCTTCTCTGTCTCTTCTGATGATGCCTAAAACTATGGATAACCAATTCTCCTGAGTGTAGATTCCAAACAAAGAGACCAAAGCTCCATGCCCAGGTCCAAAGGCCCCATAGAAGCCAGTGGGAGTCATCGAGAGGAAAGGCGCTCTGTGAGTGTCAGGACCTTGGTGGCCAGGATAGCCATCAGAGTGTCCAGGCCTCCCACATTACCTTGGATCCGAGCAGCCAGCTCCAACTGTTCTGCAAGCAGCACTGGAGTCAGGGGGTAGGAGGACAAGTGGAAGCAAAGGTGTGGGACTGGGGAAGACAAAGAGGAACAAGCTGCCCTTCCTCACTTTTCAAAGGGTCAGGAATCCTAGGCTATGATGCTGGGAAGCTAGACCAGCTCCTCCAAGAGAGACTAGACCAGGGTCATTTTCTCTGTTATTAACTCTGGGCTCCAGCTTCTCCGTGCCCTGCTTTACCTCCAAGTGGTTCCAATTTCCAAAGGCCCTGCTGACCACATGTGATTCCCAGGAGAGGGCTGGGGGAGGGGAGCGCAGAGGTCTGGCTTCCATCCTTGGCGTGTAGCTTTGGATCGCTGTCTAACCACACAGCAGACGTTGCCCGGTCTCCCCAGCTCTAGTTTCTTGCCTGAATGCGGCTGACAAATGGGAAGAGAAAAGCATTCAGCAAAATACTCAGGAAACTTGCTGTTTTCATTATAATTCACAACCAGCCATGCCAAGGCCACTTTCTTTTGAAAATCCACTTCTTTAAAGTTTCTCAGGCCCTATTAGTAGCCTGAAGGAAATACTAATGACTGGCCTTCCGCACTAAGCCAAAGTGTTTGCTCTTCATAGCACTCAAAGCTTATCAGCGCAGAGCCCATAATTTATGGAGATAAAAGGAAAGGAGATATAGGTAAGAAGAGTGTGACCAGGAGACCTTATGCTACCTGTAAAAAAGTTCAGCCCACCCCATCTAACTTCTGAGCTCTGTTTGGGTGAAGATTTTCTGGCCGCATGGCTGCTCAGACTGGCATCCAGGCTTTGCTCCACCAAGAAGTTAAAGGCAGTCGGACATCTCAGTAGCATCTCTACCAGCCCTTAACTCAATGCATCTACCTGGCATCTCCCAGCAGTTACTTTTGGAGACGATTCACTGCCCCTGGGGCGTTTCCTTGAAGGTTTGTGGAGAGCGTGGAGAATGATGGGGCAATGGCCAATTGGAGGGTGGAGAGTGAAGAGCCGGAGCTGGCTGTGAGTGGTTTGGCCACATTTCTCAGGATTCCATGAGAGACTTGGGGAACTTGGGCTGACAAAGGAAGTAGCCTGGGGCATCCTTAAGGAAGGAATTAAGAAAAGGGAAAAAGCTGGACTCAAGCCACGCCATGAGGGTGAAAGGTTATAAGGCCCTGCCCCCTTTCCAGCTGCCCACCTGTTCCTCCTCCACACCTCTTCGCTTTGGGCCACCAAGAACCAATGAAGTCCACACCCTTTGGATGAGAAAAAGAGGGAGTTGGTTGGCCTCTCTTCTCCCTGTTATCCAATTTGAGGATATTTTGACCTTGGGTAAGGATGAAGTGTTAAAGCCACAGCTCCTCTCCACAAGAAGCCATTCATCTTGGGGGAGGCAGAGAGGGAAGTCTCTCTCCAAAGTCTATCCAGCTTCGCTTCGTTTCATTGATCTGCACAAGAGACAATGCTCTGGAAAAGGAAGAGGACCCCAGAAGGGTGCTTGGCAAGACAGAGGATGCTAATGGGCAATGGAGAGCACTCCCTCCAGCTGGCCCCTGCTGCTGCCTCCCGTCCTCTGCATGGGGTCAGGTGCTTCTGTGCTTGCTGTCCTACCTCTCTCCACAGCAGGGCTCTCAAAACCATTTTGATCCCCCATTGGCAGAGGGTTCCCCTCTTTACAGAGTTCAGTCATTAAAAGCATGGATCAGCTGTTAATCTCATTGGAGGAGGGAACTGTTTCCTGCATTCATTCATCTGGGAACCTTCTTGAGTAGCCACTGTCTGCCAGCCACTGCTCTAGAGATGGGAAAACAGCACGGAACAAAACCAAGGTCTTTCTTCCAGCGAATTTATATCCTTCAGGAAGCTGGTTCCTGCCACCAACTTAGCAGGCAACAGTTCTCCTCCCCTAGTGGCACAGGGTACCAGTTTTGTAGGAAAAGTGGTCCAGCAAAGGAAGAAAGCAGACCAACCCAGCTGCCTTACCTTATTCTGGGGCCATTCCCCCAGCGATGAGAGCTGCTCTTGTTTCTACTGCCACCATCTCTTCTGGCTGCACTTCACCTGCTGCTTGAGCTTCTGACCTTCCTTCAGTTCCACCAAATGAGGACAGGAAATAGCAGTCAAGACCCCTGGCCCTGCTGAGCGTGAAACAGAAGCAATGGATGAGTGCTGGACGAAGAATGGCCTGGGCAGAACAAATAGGGAGCATTTGAAAGCTTCTGGCTGATAAATCTCCAGGTGCATCCCGGTTGCCACGCCTGCCCCCATTAACCTGCTCCTGGTAAATACTGATCCAGCAGCTGCTCCAGGAGAGGCCGTCTTTTTTTCCCAGCCACGCTGTGTCTTGCATGAGACTCCTGGGGCCTGGGCACAGAGAGAAAAGAATTGAGACTCAGGAGGCTCAGTGGGTGAGAAAATGCAAAGTGGCTTCACAGACACAGGGCTGTGGGAGCAGATCGACGGGGAACTTGGGAGATGAACTTCAGGGCCTTCCGACGCCTTGTCTCAGGAACATGCTTTGAGAAAAATGGTAGCATCCTTTCCATAACTCAGTCTCTCTTCCCTAGTTTCCCTGAAGTGTGACGTTTTAGTATCTGGAGCTCAGTGATCCCCATGAATGAGGGATAAAGTTTCACTCTTGGTATTTTCTAACTAGTGCTAGGGAAAGTCCTGAGACACGATCACAGCCACTGCTTGGCATACAGGGCCTCCACCCAATAAGCAAACTGGAGATTCCTCAGCCTCTCGTGGACACCCACATCTCATTCTTCTCACAGCAGAGAAGCTCTCCCTTCAGCCTGAGCTGTCTTCTTTCTGCTGCAGTGCAGCCTGCTCCCTCCTACCCTGGCCTCAAGGAAGGTAGGAAACATCTTCTGCATTTCAAAGTCCTCACTTTGACTTATTTGGCCTTCATCTTGGCATGGAAGGTGGCAGGCAGAATGGAAATACTCCCCCCAAACAGAACAGATATTCTTGCGTGTGTAAGGGCAGAAGGGACAAGCTCTCTATCCCATGAGACTAGGGGCCGGAGCCCACCTGCCTTTCCCCACAACTTTTCCTGCTCAAACCCACTCCTCTTGACACACTGGAATCTGTATTATATATATTTTTAAGAAAATACAATGATGGTTGTCTGGTTTTGTTGTTTTTACAGGTGTTGTGGAATAAAAACTGTAAGAAAATTAAGTATTTAAAATGTTCCAATAAAGTGGGGTTTTTTGTTATTCTAATATATTATTGTGTACCTATTGTAAATATGAAACACTCCTATTTTGCAAGCTGAGGACACAATTTGTACTGTTGTTATATATAAATAAAGTTTACTGAATTAAAAAAACCTTAAATCTTTAAATAAACCCGATTGTTCAGCAGCATATATGCAGAATAACATTTTAAGGGCATATTTAAGAATGGTACTCATGGAAATATGAGCTAAGTTGTTTTGAGGGAGTTTTAGAATTCTCTCTGGAGCCAGAGCTTATTAATGTACCAGTCATCATCATCAACATAACACACACACACACACACACACACACACACACACACACACACACACACACACACACACACGAGATACCGTGGCTTATACCAGCAGGTGAACACTGCCCCCTAGCCCCAAGACCTCAGAATACAGCTTTCCTCCAACTGGAGGCAGCTAGTGTACTCCATGAGTTAGGACCCCTTCCCAGGAGAGAAGGGAGGTCTCAGAAGAATGAGATCCTCCTCTGCCTCCATGCTTAATACATGTTCTTCATGTGTTTGTACATTCATGTATACAAAGTGCATTCTTGTGCTTGTACAAAACGTATTAAGCACGGCCTGGCACTGTGGTAAGTGCTGGGGGATAACATAATAAGTGAGAAAGACATGATCCTTGTCCTCATCAACCTTTTAGTGTAGTGAAAAGCATAGGCTTGCTTAAAAAGGAATGTTTCACCATGCCTTGAGAAGGGGTTTTATGGTTGCTTTTTTTTGGTCATTTTCAGTTAAAGGATTAAAGGTAAATAAAGGGAAAGATGCCAGATAGTGTGTGCTTTTAGATCCAGTGCAGGTAAGACAAGAAGGCGGGCCCTGCCTAGGGGAGAACAGTAGCTGGGCAGACAAAGTCCAGAGGCAGCAGAAACATCACAATTCCACAGTAAGCCTGAGAGGTAGGGAATTGATCTTAGGACTCCTAATCCTTAGGGGTCCCTTAACCCTAGGAGGTCATGCCTCCTCCCCTCCTCTGTACTTTCATCTATTTTACGTTCTGGTGTTCCAACATGTGTGGGTGACACTTCTTCTCTCTGGTAAGAGAAATAGATGAGAATAACTCAAGTATCCATCTGACATCTCAACTGAGCATGCAAGCAAACTGCTGCTCACTATTTCCATGATAATGGGACCAGGAGAGTTCTGGGTCTTCAACCTTATACCAGGCACTAAGAGTAGAGCCTCCTGAAGGATGAGGTGCAGGCCCTGCCTTCAGAGTGCCTCCAGTCTAACATGGACAGCCAACACACAAGGGAGAATGGGGCCTGGGACTTGTAAAACAAAACATGTAAACAAGTGCATGTTGGTAAACATAGTGTGTGCTTACAGCTTCAAAGAGATCATAATTGGGAAGATTGTTAGTCCCGACTTAGCAGCCTCTGAGTTCACAGTGTTTGTGGGTCCCCCATCCACACCGCACACATGTACACACACACACCCTTCCCAGATGGAATGGAGAGATGCAAAAGCTGGTCCTGAGGGTGAGAAAAATGCAAACATAACACCATGAGGAGTCAGGAGGAGAGGAGAAGAGTGCAGTGCTGAGGTCTGCATGTAATTAGTGTGTCATTTTCAACAACACAGTGGGCCTCAGGCCTGGGGAGTGCACCCTTGGGCCTGGGGAGTGCACCAGAGCTTTTTACTAACTTTAAACCATCCTCCTCTTCTCTCTGAAATGCAAACCTAGAACCCTGGAGGCACTCGAGTGTCTAGCAGTGAAAAATGTGTCTTTTCTCAGTAAAAGCAACAATATGGCCCTGGTGAGCTCCAATGTGGGACAGAGCAGTTAGATGAGTCTTGCCTCTGTCACTGCCTGACTGGGCTCCTGGCTTCACAAGAGGCTGGGATACAGGGAAATTTGGACAGAGGAGGACGTTTCTCAGTACAGGATCCTTACTTCCCTGAGTTTTCTCCAATCTTCTTGCTGCTCCCCTCACCCCACCGCCATCTGTCCCCTCAACAACTTGGACTTAGGGTATCCCTATTATTAAATACCTGCTGCAGAAACTACCATCCTCTGGCAAGGAAGCAAAGGAAGAGGATGGAAGCTACCAGGTGGTCTGTCTTGTTCACTGTCGTATTCCCAGAACAGAGCACAGACCCTGGCCCACAGCAGATGCCCCTTGAGTATGTTCTGAATAAACAGATGATGGAATGAATGGAACTTGGGAACCACCTACCAAATGCCAGGCTCTGGAACATCCTCCCTTGTAGGCTTCTCATGCTCACATGATAAGAGTTTTCCATTTTTTAGTCTGAGATTCAGAGAGGTTAAGGGACTTACTTAAGACTGCACAGTTACAAAGTGGTAGAGCCACAGAGGTCTGATTCCAGACTTCACATTGCACAGGCTTTTTCCACTGCACTTTCCACACTACCTTTCATTAGCTCTAGAACCATTGAATACTTGGAAGTCCACCCCAGAAATGGATCCTTCCTCTTGTAACAAGAAGATCCTATGGAGACACTCTTCCTCATTCACCAATAGTCATGTTTGTTCAATGCAATTGATATCTCTTCCTCACTTGCTATGAGCATGACACTAGACTAGGTACTATTAGGAACACAAAGGGAGGGAAAAGCTAAGTCCTGAAGTTGCAGCTTTCCCTGGGTTTACACTCTAATGCCAATACCAAATCATTATTCTATAAGAAAAAGATTCATCCCTTTTATTAGGGGTATTTCTATCTCATTTTTACCACAAATGCAAAATAATTTTGCCAAACTGTGTCAGTAGAATTCTCAGAGACCTATTTTCCTCAATTTGAGGGTAAAACCTGCATGATAAGACACTCAAGAGAATTTAGGGAGATGGGTGCTGCTGATTGTCTGCGCTTGATCATATCAACACCACGAGCTGCCAAACATCTCAGCTCAGCAAGTGAGCTGAAAGACAGAGGAGGCTTCCACCTGTCAGCAGCCAAATGAGCAGCCCACCAAAGCACATGCACAGAAATTTCTACTGCATGTAATTGCATTCATCTTATTCCTGGCTTTGCTTTATGTCTCTGTCTCATTTATCTTGATTCCTCACCCCTACTCCTTTCTAATTGCTAGGTTTCATGTATCCCCTGCTAAGAGCATAAGCTTTGGATTCCGATTGCCTCGGGTTGAATTCCATCCTCAAGCTGTATGGTCTGGGGCAAGTTATATAACCTCTCTGTGCATCAATTTTCAAATCAATAAAATGAGGATAATAATATGCATCCAATAAGGTTTTTATATGGGTTAAATAAGGTAATGTATGTAATGGACTAAGTATTACAATAGGTAAATGAGCAGGAGAGAGAATGAACCATACATCCTTCTTTTTTTTTTTTTTTTTTTTGAGATGGAGTCTTGCTGTGTCACCCAGGCTGGAGTGCTGTGGCGTGATCTCGGCTCACTGCAAGCTCCACCTCCTGGGTTCACGCCATTCTCCTGCCTCAGCCTCCTGAGTAGCTGGGACTACAGGCACCCGCCAGCACGCCCGGCTAATTTTTTGTATTTTTTTGTATTTTTAGTAGAGACGGGGTTTCACCATGTTAGCCAGGATGGTCCCGATCTCCTGACCTCATGATCCGCCCGCCTCGGTCTCCCAAAGTGCTGGGATTACAGGCTTCAGCCACTGCACCCAGCCACCATACATCCTTCTTTTACAGGCAGCCCAGGAGGACCTACAGGCAGGAATTGATGAGCATCTCCATCTGACTGTGGGAAGAAGTTGAATTAATAGAAGTTTTGGAGATGAAAGTTGGTGCCTGAGAGTTAAGTCCTTAGGAGACTAGTCATGGATGCTAACATAGGAAAATAGAAGATGAATCAAGGTTTCACCCAATGGCAGAACCAGCTATGAACCTGCCAGTGAACATGCTATAGGTAAATGGGAAGTGGCAGACAGAAGTGGATCAAGCCTAATTTCCATGTGCTAAGGCCACAGACAGGGCTCAGTTGGCTACAAGAGTCTGTTGATGGCCTCCTGAAAGCATGCCCAGATCAAGGGTCTGAAAAGGATTTGGGGCCTACTAGGAAAGGTAGTTCTTCACCCTGAGAGCCAGAGGGCAGGGCCAGCCCACAGGCAGAGGATAACAGCAACAGAGGGGAGCAAAGAGGCTGGAGGCAGAGGGCACAGAAGGACCCCAGAAGGACTATTCCCAGCAAGAAGTCAAGGAAGTGGAGTAGGAAACGGGCTGGAGCACTCACCAGACCTGAGAGGGGGATTCACCTATCTCCCCTCAGGAGGAGTCTGGGCACCTCCACACTGAGCTGGTTTTAGGTAAGTGTATTAGTCAGGGTTTTCCAGAGAAACAAAACCAGTAAACCAATAGGGTGTGTGTGTGTGTGTGTGTGTGTGTGTGTGTGTGTGTGTGTGTGTGTGTGTAAGGGGGTGGAGATTTTAAAGAATTGGCTCATGCAATCATGGGAGCTAGCAAGTCTGAAATCTGCAGGTCAGGCTGGCTAAAAATTCCTGCAAAAGTTGATGATGCAGCCTTGAGTACAAAAGCAGTCTAGAGGGAGAATTTCTTCTTCGGGAAACTTCAGTCTTTTTCCCTTAAGGTCTTCAACTGTTGATGAGGCCCACTCACATTTTAGAGGGTGAACTGCTTTACTCAAAGTCTACAGATTGTAAATATTAATCACATCTAAAAAATACCTTCGTAGAAACATCTAGACTGGTATTTGATCAAAAAACTGGGCACTGTAGTCTAGCCAAGTTGATACATAAAATTAACCATCACAGGGAGGAAAAGACCAGTCAATCCGTTCATCGAACGCTGAAACTAAATGAAGTGCCTGTGATCCTTAAATCTATTCACTTTGATGATTTCTTGTCTGGTTTCTTTTGCCCTTAGTCTCTGAGTAGAAGATGCTTTTGAACGATCCTAACCTTTACTGGGTAACCAAAGAAGAAGAGGAACAGACATCAATGGGTATGGAGGGCCCTTGAGAGGCAGAGAGGGTACTGGCTCCAGATCAGGGAAGTGGACGACTCTTGGACTCATCATGGGAAATAATAAGAGGGAAAATCTGGAAGCCATCCCCCATCTGGTTTTCTTCCAGAAATCATTAATGTCTGAATTATCCCAGCCCATTTAGAAGAGCCCCACCTAAGAGGCAAACACCAGAAAACCAGTAAACAACAAAAACATATGGCTGGTTATTTAATCCTCCTGAATTGGGCAGTACTCCAATCTTCCTGATCCATCCTCCCAGGCTCCTCTCTCTTTGGTTCTCCCATCTTCATGTGGCTCCATTTTGCAGGTTCTAATTGCCATCACAGGTGTCCCTAACTTCCATGACCCATTTTAGAAAAGCTCACCTGGAACTCTCCTTTTGCCACAATCATTATCATCATCCTCTAGCATGCTGCAGCACCCAAAAGTGCCCCTGGCCCCACAGAAGAGCCTACAGTGCCACACACTGGAGGGTAAGAAGGGAGGCTCCCCAGCCTGACGGTACCTGACTTCTCCTCTGCCTGGCACTGACCCTGAGTGATTTTAAAGGCCACAGGATCTTTTCAGAGCTGAGATGTGGGTGACTTCATGAACCCTGAGCTTCAGTGGCTGTGGGAACCCAGCTCGTGCCCCTCCTCATTTGAGGCAGCCCTTGGTTTTCATTTCAACTCCATTTCCCTGTTCGAATGGTAAGGATGCTGAGGGAGAATGGAAGCACACATTGTCACTCCTCTTGGCCATTTCCCCAAAAATGTTTTTCTTCCACCTTAAGGAGTCTCCCTGGTCATTTGTTTATTTAACTAAATCTTTAGCGAGTCACTTATATGCTCTGCTGTGTGCTAAGCAGAAAGGTCCAGGACCTGACCTCTTACTCTTGTGAGCTTCCCTGGCAGTGATGTTCATCTGGTAGCAATGATTTAGTGTGTCTATTGCACTTTCATTGTGTAACCAGCACTGTGGTTAGCACCTCACAGACATGATCTGATTGTCTCCTATGAAGGCCAGAGGAAACAACTGGCATTCACTCCCATTTTAGAGATGGGGAAACTGAGGCTCAGAGAGATTATATAACAAATCTAAAATCACACAGAGGTCAGCGACATCCTTAGGATTTGACCAGATCTTCACAAGCTGTGGATTCAGTGGCCATGAAGAAAGGCCCGTTGCTCTTTGGGGCTCAGGGTAGGGCTGTTCCCTGTTTGAGCACATAGTGACCAAAGCAGAATGGCTCTTCCTGCTCACAGCCAGCCTGTGACAGCAGCACTGGCCCTCTGGCCCCTCCCAGCCAGAGCTAGGACAAGACACAGAAATCCACAAGACTCTTGGAGAAGTGGGTCCTGTTGCTGAGTCAATGTCCTCAGCAATCGGCCCCTGCCACTGGGCCTGTCTCCTCCTAAAGCCCTATCTGCTACTAAACCACTTGAGTGGCCTTGGCAAAGCCTTTTTCTTTGCTCAATTTCAGCTTTCTCCTTCATAAATTGAAGGGACTTCGAAAAGATCAGTAGTTTCCAACTTTGTATCAAAGAAAGGCTCACACAGAATCCAGATCCAAGTGCAGTTACACTGATGGAAACAGATGGGAAGGCAAGGCCCTACTCACTCCACCTTCCCTTCCCACACCAGGCCTCCCTTGACCTTGCCCCCACTCCCTGTGTTGGGCCCTGTATGCCTCTGCACAACCCTACGGCTCCATGGAATGCTACTGGTTCTCTAAGGTCCCACCTGGTTCTGAAAGTCTACCACCCTCCCTGTCAGGCAGGGGGCCTCTGACCACAGCTGAGATATAGGCCACATTACGAGAAGTGTCCAGGTCAAACTGGAATTAGTGTCCTAGGGTTCCAAGCCGCACCCTGCCCCGGTTACACTTGCCCCCTGTGCCTGTGTCTTGGTTTGCTTTGAGTCTTCTGTGAACTGAGACAGAAATAGAGCAAGGTGGTGAGATAATTACGACAGGTCAAACAGTCCACAGACTCTGCCAGCACAGAATAGCAACATGGTGATGACTCTGGCCTGTTCCAAGAGCAGCTGAAAGGAAGGGCCAGCTCAAACAGATGGGAAAGGTAAAGACATGAGGAAGGAGTCCTGTGAGTGAGAAACAGGACAGCCTCGGGGCTCCGGGGGCCCTCATGGCCCTTCCTCTCCCTTCTATAAAGCAAGGTCAAATAGACCCCATGGAGCATCCAGAAGCAGAGGCACACAGCAACTCCCTAGATGGAAAAACATGCCGAAGGCTCAAGGTTGGGCTGGGCATGGGTCTTAATGAAGGTTCCCTCCGGGCCTTTCTTCAGAGGACCAAACCCTCCATCTCTGACCTAATTCTCCAAAACTAGGAAGCTGGTGGAGGTGATGTCCACAGAGGCACTGGCTGACTCTGTGACCTTGGGCAAGTCACTCAACCTCTGAGGAGCCCTGCATCTCTGTGCTTTTGTGACTCCTGTGATTATCAGAACAGCACAAATAAAATTTGGGAACCTGGGAAAGAAAGCATCTCACAAAGAAACTCAAAGTAAACAAAAGAAAAAGTCAAAGTCAGAGCCAGGTGCCTAGATCCCTAGCCCAAGGTTCTGTCTGCATAGATGGAAGACTGTAAGAATAATACTTTGTGCTATTTCATTTCCCAAGCCCCCCAAAGTGATAAATTTCCCCACAAAGCGGATCTGCCTTATACTCCCACGACGAGACCCTTCCCTATAAATCTGTTCATATGTTGACCCTTTCAGACAGCATTTAAAATATGTTTTCTTAATTTATGAATTCACATGATGGAAAACTACAGGCCATTAAAAACTGAGTGGGACAACTGTGTCAATATGTGAACATGTGAGTATGGGGTAACTTCAAGTGGAAACGTGGAGACTCCACCATACGGAGTACACAGTTGTGTATATGTGTAGAAAAGCAAACATGTGCACATTATTTACTGACCAAGATTAGAAGTAAATTGAGATTGTGGTTTTTATTAGTAGATATTCAATAAGTGAGTGCTTATTATTTTCAGATTCTGGCTGTTTCAGCCCTCTCAACCACTGTTTTGATAGAAGGTGGCCAGTCCCACAGAACCCTTTTTAAAGCAATGGGCTTCTGCCTGTCTTCCTCCTACCACCCCGCCCCACCTTACCCTGCTACATACACAAGCTCTCTCCCCTACACCACAGAAGTTAGCATCTGCAGGTAACAAGGAAACTCGCCTGCCTGACTGGGACGAGGAAGGTGCGGTGGTCTGGGGTGAGGAAGGGAAGCAGAGCTCCCACCCCCACCAAGCGTGGTATGGACCCCACTACCCTGGGTAGAGAGATGGCCACTGAGCTCAGGCTCAGGTGACCAGCTTCAAACCTCTGTCCTCACATCACCAGATTCTGTTACCACGAGAGCTGGAGTTGGAGACGAAGCAAAGCTCAACAAGCCTAAACCATTTTCTCCAGGGGAGGGGCTGTGGTGGTCGTTCTGGCTGAGTCAACTACCAGTGGCTCGGAAGTATTGATTGTGGATTTTGGAACTGGACACAACTGGGATGAAAAATAAGCCACTTTGTAGTCGGGTGATATGTGGTAAGTTTCTTACTCCCTCTGAGCATCTTCTAATGTGGAAAATGTGGCTAGCATTAGCTCAGGCAGTTATGGTAAAAGTTAGAACTAAGGTATATAATGTCCTCATCACAGGCCTGGCACAAAGCAGGCAGCTGAGAAATGCAGAGATTTGTAGTATAGCATTATTATCTTGTACACCTCTCTGAAGCTTTCTGGGCCCTCACTCTTGCCTGGGGAGTCTGGAGTCTGGGACCCCCTTTCAGCCAGCATCTGGCCATACTGAACTGAGAGAAGGAAAGTGGCAGGGATCAGGAATCAGTCTCCATTGGCCTGGGTGTTTTCTGAACTAAAACCAAAGCCCTGGCATCAACCTGCTCCATTTGAGTGCCTTGAGGCACTAGAAAGCTTCCAAGCAGAGCCTCTGACCAAGGAGCTGACTCTGTATTCACGAAATGAATCCTGGTTTTGCAGAAAGCAGATAGTGACTCCGAGAGCCATCTGGAGGGGGGTGGCACTTCCCTCTAGTACTAGGAAAGACAGACAGTAATCAGATCAATGAGAATAAATAGATGGCCTAGAAACAGACCCTCCTATACATAAGGACTTAATAAATGATAAAAGAAACATTATAAGTCATTGGAGAAGGTGTGAGTTATGCAAAAACTGGAGTTTGGGAAAATTGACTAATTGAAAGGGAATTAATTTTGATTCTCATCTCACAGTACACACTAAAATCCCATTTAGATCAAAGAGTTAAAGCTGCAAAAACAACATAAGGGGGAAAAGAAAGTAGCATGTCATTTTCCCGAACGGTAGGACTGAATAGTATAAAGATGCAAATGCTTCATGAATTAAGATATATATTTAATTTAATCCTTTACAAAATCCCAAATGAGATTTTTTTTTTCTAGACAGCATGACTCTAAAATTTATCTGGAAAATACATGAACAGAAGTAGTCTTTTTTCCTCCTAAAAAACAGAGTAACTATGGGAGATTTTTCTGCCAGATATTAAAATGCTATATTTCATACACAAATATGTTGTATTTTTAAATGTGTGAATGAATAAAGATACAGTAATTAAAACAGTGTGATTGTAATAGAAGAACCAACTGAACAGAATAAGACAGCTCAGAACAGTCTACTGTATATATATGTTTAAAAATTTAGCGTAAGCCAAAGGCAGCATCTAAGCCAATGGGGAAAGGAAGCCTTGTTTTTTTTTTTCTTAAACAGGGTCTCACTCTGTCACCCAGGCTGGAGTGCAGTGGCACGATCTCAGCTCACTGCAACCTCTGCCTCTCAAGCTCAAGGGATCCTCCCTCCTCAGCCTCCCACGTAGCTAGAACTACAGGATGCACACCACCACGCCCAGCTAATGTCTGTATTTTTTGTAGAGATGGGGTTTCACCATGTTGCCCAGGCTGGTCTCAATTTCCTGAGCTCAAGCCTTGCACCCACCTTGGCCTCCCAAAGTATTGGGATTACAGGCGTAAGCCACCACGCCCAGCCAAAAGCATTCCTTAATAAGTGATTCAGGGATAAATGTTTAACTATTTGGGGAAATATCAGTCTAAATCCTTACCATGATGCAACACAGAACAAAATAAATCCCAAATAAACTAAAAAATTAAATGTGAAAAAATCAAACCTGACTGGGCAGTGGGGTTGCTCACACCTGTAATCCCAGCACTTTGGGAGGCCTAGGGAGGAGAATCACTTGAGCCCAGGAATTTGAGACCAGCCTGGGCAACATAGGGAGATATCACCTCTACAAAAATAAAAGAAAAAACAATTCTAAACCTTCTTAACCAGGAGTGGTGGTGTGGGCCTGTAGTCCCAGCTACTCCAGAGGCTGAGGTGGGAAGATCACTGGAGCTCAGGGGGTCAAGGCTGCAGTGAGACGGGACTGCCCCACTGTACTCTAGCCTGGGCGGCAGAGCAAGACTCTGTCCCCCGACCTCAAAAAAAAATCATAAAATACTTAGAATAAAATATTAGTATGTTTATCTCAGTGTGGAGATGGAATTTCTAAGTATAAAAGCAATTGGAGGAATCACAAAGAAAGAATAGATATATTTGGCTGCATATAAATTCAAACCATATCTATAAAAAACATCATAGAAAATAAAGTAAACAGCAAAATCAACCTGAGAAAAAATGTCTTCAACAAAAACATCAAAAAGTTAATGTTCTTAAAATACAAAATAGCACTTATACACATAAAAAGCCCCACTAAACCCAAAAGAAAAATGTGCAAAGGATGAGAATAGACTATTTGCAGAAGAAATGCTAATGATTATTTAGACACACAAAGAAATGTTGAAGCTCACTAGCAATCAATATATGTGAAAAAAACACAATAATGAAATACAATTTTTGCCCTATTAAATTAGCAAATACTTGTAAAAGTCAATGTGGATTATTGATGAAGGAAGGTGTACTACAATGCTGGGCCCTCTCACACTATTAGAAATTTGTACAATATTTCTAGAACACAAGATGGCAGTAAGTCTCAAGGGCCTTTAAAATATTCATTCTCTTTGTGGTAATAATTTCACTTCCATTCTGAGCAGGTAAAAACAAGGACAAACATATATGTACATGTCTTTTATTTAAAATAATAAGTAGAAACAAATTAAATACTGCCAATATGGGAGAGTTAAATAAATTATAGTATGTCCACAAGATGAAATATTATATTCTGATTTAAAATTATGTCCACAGAGAATTTTTAATGATTTGGAAAACTGTTCACAGCATGTTACAGTGTGGTCTAAATAGGGGAGTAGGATTATGTGAGAATTTTACTTGTTACTTTATTCTGTTTCCCAATCACCCTCCCAAATATCTACAAGTGTAATGACAATTGTAATAAAAAAAATACTGTACTCCAAAACTCCTCATCAGCCACAATTACTTTCATAGAATAGCAGAAGGTCCTCTCCCATTCCCTTATCTCAGGGAAACTCCACTCCACCTCCCAGGTCCTAAACTAAATTAGTGACGTCTTTTCCTCCTCTGAGGTTGCCCAGCAAAGAAGGTGGATGGTGACTCACAGTGTGGGCTTTGTAGGAGGCCACAAGACCCCAAAACCTAGCATTCAAGAAAAGGAAAAGCAATTCCCCAGACTTTGGCATTGGTAGAACCTGCCTGGTTTCCTATCTAAGCCCGGCCAAGCATGAATGTGGATCAGTGACCTTGGGACTATCTCTGCATTGAGCAGGAACGTAGGCTCCAGAAGGGCAGGTTCTGTCCTGTCCACCACTGTGTCTCCGAGGCCTATCTTATGATATAGGATTCAGCAAATATTGAATGCATGGATGCACAAGTTTCTTCTTCTATGCAGTGGATGAAATAAGCCTGTTTCACAGAGTGGTTTGATGTTTGTAAACAGTCAGGCCACAGTAGATGCTCCGTAGAGGTTGGTACCCATGCCACACGTAGCTGACCACAGCAGAGGCCTCAGTCTCCTCGCTCTCGTAAAGTTAGACAGCTTCGCTGGAGGTATAAATGGTTTAGCCTTGTCTCTGAGTTTTCTCAGATGGTCTGAGACACGTGGCTTTTTTTCCCTTCTGGTTTCCTCTGAATCGATTCCGCCACTGGTGAAGGGCAGTAAATTAATAACTAAATTTCCCCCCCATGACAACAAGCCCAACAACTAATTGGCTCAATATCTCCCTGTTGCTGTAACACTTTGGGATTTTTCTAGGTGAGATATAAATAAGCCAATTCTATTAATAAGCCATTTGGCCAAGGGAAGAAAATACACTTGGGAGATCCCAAGGGGCCTGGGGAAGCCGCTCAGTGGCCCATGGAGTGAAAGACTTGATTACAGGAATGAAGTATTCTGCCTCTGTGCCCTCCTCCCTGCAAATCTGTACTCCCTGCAGACTCCTCTCAGGCTTGGTGGGGGAGGGGGAAGTGAAGCTTTGTTAAGTTTAAAAATTATAATTTAGATAAATCTGTGCATTCATTGGTGTGAGCGTG
Organism: Homo sapiens; assembly: GCF_000001405.40. Lineage (NCBI taxonomy): Eukaryota > Metazoa > Chordata > Mammalia > Primates > Hominidae > Homo > Homo sapiens. The sequence goes on along the minus strand of NC_000001.11, from coordinate 208,009,894 downwards.
TCTCTGGAAAATAATAGTTAGCAGGGTAGAACCTGCCGCATTTCAGGGGCTTTATTGTCTCCTTATAATTAAGTCCTGCACAGAAATCCAATTACAAGTGTTCTCAATCACCCTCCAGCTAAGTGCTAACAGAGAGGGGAGGAAGGCTCCTGGACTTAAATAACTGGATAAAAATTAATATCGTGGCCGTGTTGGCTAATTAAAAGTGCCGCCTCTATTAGCAGGCCTTTATATTAATAAATGAGACTATTATTATCATATCCGACAACCAGGGTCTTTATCAAGTCTGCTCTGTCAGCCCCGCTTTTGAAAGCACAAGTTCATGGCCCCAGGTCTGGGCTTCTGTGGGAGCAGAGGGGACAGCTCCATCCTATCCAACAGTTGACTGAGGTGGGAGCATTAGCGCCCGCCGTCTTGTGTGGTCCTCACACCAACCCTGTCTAGTGTGTGTTACGGTTCCTGCTTCACAGCTGAGTAAACTAAGCTTAGATGTTGAGTAACTTCTCCTAATAAGAAGCAGAGCTCGAATTCAAACCTGCAACCTCAGGACCCTGGGTCTAGCATTCATTCTATTACAGCAGCTCATTAGCCTTACTATGGATGGGCTGGGTGGGTTGGATGGGTGGCAGATTTTTATTATGGACCAGTACCTAGATGGTGGAAAACTTCCCTTCAGTAGATCTTCAACATCCCTTGTGGGCCAATCATGTATTTACTGATCCCCTCCCATGGGTTAGGCACTGTTCTAGGTGCTGGATACGATGGCCAGCCCGCTTTCAAGAAGGCAAGCAGGTATTTACAACGACAGAGCAAGTGTAGGGTGCCGCAGAACCACACCAAGGAATATCCAACCTGGGCTTGGGAAATAGGGAAGATTTCTCAGGGGAGATGGCATCTCATTTGAGTTTGGAAGAACAAAGAGAAGAAACCCAGGCCAAGAAGTGAGTTGAGGGAAAGAGTTCCAGGCAAGGAAATCCTGTGTGCAAAGGCACCAGAGAGAGAGCAGCTATAAGCAGTTTACTGTGTCTGAAATATAAAATTCAAAGTGTGTTGTGAAAAAATTATACAGCTGGAGAGGTAAAAAGGGCCAGATCACATGAGGCAGGACCTTGCGGCTGTGCTCACAGCTTAGGCAGCTTACCCCAGGGGTGACTGAGCATCTTTGAGTGGTTTTTGGCAGAATGATGTGAACAGAAGCACTTTTTGTGTTCATCCCTCTGGCAGGAGTGTAGAGGACGGACTGGCCAGAGGCCACCCTAGAAGCCAACAGCCAGTTAGGAGTCATGCAAGAGAGATGAGAGTGACAGTGGGGATGGGGAGATGTGGCCCCTTCCAGAGACAGGCAAGAGATAGAACCGTCCAAACGGTGACTGACCACAAGTACAGTGTGAGGGAGAGGTGGGAGCCACGTCTGACCCCATTTTTCTGGCTTGAGCAAAGCAGAGGGATTTTAGAAGGTGGGAAAGAGAGGATGAGGGAGTAGTTTTGGGTGAAAATAGTAAGTTCAATTTTGACATGAAGAGCTTTCAGTTTCTTAAGAACATTCAAGGTCAGGTGTCCAGTGAGTGGTTAGATTCATGAGTACAGAGCTCCAGAGAAATAATGGCCTGGAGATAATGCTTTGGAAATTATCAGGTCACAGATGATGACTCAAGTATGATCATAGATTAAATCATCCAGGAAGGGATGGAGTGGCCACACAGGTCTTAATCTCCGTTCATCATTTCAGTCCACAAGCGCCATGCATCTCCTGTATGCAAACCACTCATCTCTTGTCACCAAGCATTTTCGTCTATTAGTATAATATTTCCTTAGCGACAATAGATGAAGAATGTCACGTCCAATTTCCAACCAAGGCTAGACATCCTCCAACCCACACAGAAACATGGAATTTAATGTGAGTCATCAGTATCTGTTGGCAATCCAGTGAACATGAATTGAAACCTTGGCTTGACCTCCAATTTACTTCAACGCCTGACCTATCATGAAACCAGGAGCTCTGAGAAAAAGTAGCCAAGTACTCTTTCAGTTTCACAGAATATTTACCCTAAGTCACCAGAGCCTGGTAATGAAATCCAGACTCAATTATTTTAATGTCTAAATTCCAAAAATAATGATAATAATGAATGAAATGCTGAATGGACTTAAAGAATGAAAGCTTTTAAGTGAGGCAGGGGTGGAAGGACGAGGAAGGAAAGAAAAATATCTGAAAACAACATCTTGTTTTTACAAAGTAATGGGCCCACTATTTGCCATCCATCAGCTAACAAATGCAGGAAAGTCCTGATTGATAGGCACACTAAGATTGGGGTGAAAGTTACAATGTGATGAATTTTCTCATGATAAGGAGATTGTTTCAGCTTTCACTGAAAACCTTGCCAGGGCGTCTGGTTAAGCTTTCTTGCTCTAGTAAGTCAGCTTATTTTCTGATCCTGCTTCTGGTCAGACCTGGGGGAAGGTGAGAGGCAAGCCTGGCCAGAGTGGAATTCAGAAGGTAGTTCCTTTTTTTTTCTTTTTCTTTTTCTTTTTTTAGAGACAGGATCTGTCTCTGTCATCCAGGCTGGAGTGCAGTGTTAAGATCATAGCTCACTGTAACCTCAAACACCTGGGCCCAAGCGATCCTCCTGCTTTAGCCTCATAGTAGCAAGGACTACAGGCACACGCAACCATGCCTGTCTGATTTTTAATTTTTTTTCGTAGAGACAGGGTCTCTCTATGTTGCCCAGGTGGGTCTTGAACTCCTAAACTCAAGCAATCCTCCAGCCTTAACCACCCCAGGTGCTGGGATTACAGGTATGAGCTACAGCGCCTGGTGTCCGTAGGTAATTTCTTACACAAGATTATGAAGTGTGAAGTCAGAAGGCAGATCCCCAACATTATGTCTGGGGAGGTACCAAGTTCAAAGCCACATGATAAGGCCAAGACCTGACCAGCCATTAAAGCCATTAGAGAAGGAGCCTAAAGGAGGCTACGGGAGGGATGGGAACAGTCAGGAAGCTGGAGGAAAGGACATAGGGACAGTGGTGAATAGGAAGGAGTCTGAAAGATCCCCAGTGCTCAAGAATTGGCAACATCTGGGGATATTCATTATCCATTGCTACATAACAAATTACCCCAGACCTGAAACAACCCACATTCACTATCTTGCAGTTTTTGTGGGGAAACTGGGAATGTCTTGGCTGGATGCCAGTGGCTCAAAGCCTCTCCTGAGGATTGAGTCAAGGTGGAGATGGGAGCTCTGCCTCCTCTAAGCCTCTAAATGGAGAGGGAGGATCCACTTTTAAGCTCACTCACGTGATTGAGGAAGGCCTCAATTCCTCATCCCATAGGCCTTCCCAAAGGCTGCCTAAGGGTCCTCAAACATGGGAGCTGGCGATTGGAGAAAGAGGGAGAGGAAGAAACAGTGAGAGAGAAACCAGGAGAGAGCAAGTGTTCCAGGTGGAAGCCACAGTCTTTTTATAACCTAATATTGGAAGTGACATGTCATCAATTCTGTCTCATTCCATTCATTAGGAGCAAATCCATAAGTTCAGCCCACACCAAAGGGGAAGAGATTACACAAGTGAGTGAACACCAAGGGGCAGAGAATGCTGAGGGCAACCCTAAAGGCTGCCAGCCACAGTGGGGTTACTTTTCAGGTCCCAAAGGCAGGACTGAGTGCATGGGCATGCCAGGTCTATTAAAAACACTATCAGGCCAGGCATGGTGGCTAACACCTGTAATCTCAGCACTTTGGGAGGCCAAGGTGGGTGGATCACCTGAGGTGAGGAGTTCAAGACCAGCCTGGCCAACATGGTGAAACCCTGTCTCTACTAAAAATACAAAAATTAGCCGGGTGTGCTAGTGCATACCTGTAATCCCAGCTACTTGGGAGGCTGAGGCGGGAGAATCTCTTGAACCTGGGAGGCAGAGGTTGCAGTGAGCAGAGCCTGCACCACTACACTCCAGCCTGGGCAACAAGAGCGAAACTCCATCTCAAAACAAAACAAAACCAAAAAATGGCTATCACACGCTGGACAGCAGAATGTGGCACCAAATTCTTCTTTGGTGGATAAGAGTCTCACAGAATTTCTGGGCCATGTCGGTTATTATTTTCCATGACAGCAGGTGTCAAGATAGAAGGTATAGACAGCTAGGGTAACCATGTACTGATTCTCAGATATTCTCTAGCAGTTGACTTTTTGAGTAAATCACTGATGGAATCCTGACATCTGTTCCCCTTTCCCCACTGACCTTTCCTTTTAAAAAAATTCTAGGTCAGGCACGGTGGCTCACACCTGTAATCCCAGTACTTTGGGAGGCCGAGGTGGTGGATCACCTGAGGTCAAGAGTTCGAGACCAGCCTGGCCAACATGGTGAAACCTCATCTCTACTAAAAATACAAAATAATTTAGCTGGGCATGGTGGCAACTGTCTGTAATCCCAGCTACTCAGGAGGCTGAGGCAGCAGAATCACTTGAACCCGGGAGGCGGAGGTTGCAGTGAGCCAAGATCATGCCACTTCACTCCAGCCTGGGCAACAGAGCAAGACTCCACCTCAAAAAAACAAAAAACAAACAAACAAACAAAAAAACACAAACAAACTTCACTGTTCTTTTCTGTGCTATAAATTAGTCTCTCCTATAAAAGACACTACCTTCAAATTTTCTGCACAAAGCTCACAGGGCTACCTTGATGGAGAAATCTTCTGGGAACAGAGTTGCAACTCTGAGAGCACAGTCAGTCACATTAGGAAAATCGAGTTGGTTTCTTTACTCTTTGAAAAGAATTTTAAGAATCAGCAAGTCTAGGAGAACGTGGGTGTGATGTATGGTCATGATGACCACACACCAAGTCAAATCTTATTCTGGGCTGCCCAGCCTGCCCTGTGGAGAAGTCTGACTCAGTCCTCTCATGATGCCTTGGGGAGACCGTGGGGAAGGGGGATCCTGGGAAGGTCCATGAAAGGAACACATTGGGACCCTGGCCACATATTTCCATACTGGGATTAGGACTTTTGGGAGATTCCCAGTGGAGACTCTATGCTATAAATACATCTGCCTGTATGGTTAAGAATAGCCAGTGACCAGGCCAGGTTTATGGAGAGGAAATAGAGAAAGTGAGAAAAGAGAAATGGAGGGTAGTAGAAGACAGAGAAGGGAGAGGAAAATAAACAAGATGAAAGAGCCCCCAGCAGCCACTGCACCCTCAGGGCCCATAGCAGCCACTGCACCCTCAGGGCCCACAGCGGCCACTGCGCCCTCAGGGCCCACAGCGGCCACTGTGCCTTCAGAACCCAGCAGCACTACGTCCCTCATGAATCAATGCATTTTACCACCTTTACTGAGTTCCTACTATGGCCTAGGCCCAGAAGATACAATGATGAACAAAATAGACATAGTTGCTGTTCACCATAGTGAGAATAACAGACATGGAATCAGTGTGATAAAGCTTGCAAGGGAGATGGCCGGTCATCAGGATGAAATTGTAGGGCTAAAGAGATTGAGGCCACCCCACCAGCAAAGCAGGGTCTGGCTTGCAGCCCTTCTGCAAGGGGACATAGGTGGGGGAAAATGCACCTTCCTCACACCAAACCTGAGCCCTGGCTTTGGGCCACAGCCCATGAGTCTCGTGTCAACTGCTGCCCTGCTCACAGATCCACCTCTCCCTTAGCCTCTCACTGTGCTGTCCATCTCTCAGGATTTGGGTGTTTTTTATCTTGTCATTGCCTCTTCTTCCGTCCATTCAGACTCTTTGGAAATGTCAAAGGTACAATAAAAATCCAACAGCTGGTGTTTGCCATGGGTTTGGAAAAGAGCAGTATCCTCTAGTCTGGCCGACAGAAAGAAGAAGGAACTATATCCAACAGATCTCTACGTGGAAGACATAGAGGGGCATTTGGCCTAAAATAGACTGAGACCCAGCGTCTGCTCCCAACTTACACATCTCTTAATGGCCCTGTGCCCCATTAAACCATGGGGGCTGACTCTCTGGGCTCGCTACAGGGAAGATTCTCAACAAAGGAAGAAAATGGTAGCTGGGGAGTCTATAGCTCCAAGGTGGGCACTGACCTCAAGTCTACCCAGAGAACCCTACCTGTCTTAGATTGGTGAGCTCCTTCCCAGCCTGCAGTAAGGCCGGCTATCAGCTCCTCCCCTTCCGGCATTCCAAAGTTCCGGCATGGACCATCCAGTCAACTCTCGGTCCTTTCTTCCAGTACTCAACCTACTTTCATAAGTGAGAGTGTCTTCCTGATGTCTGCCCTAGATCCCTCCTCCTGTTATTTTTTTCATAATTATAAGCAAAGAGCTAGAGTCACACCCAAATGTCACAGATTCTGGACACTGCAGCACATTGTAGCCACGTGCCTGAGGGCACCCACCGATCACACTGGTCAGCGGAGGGTGAGGCATCTCAAGTAGGACAGAGGGAAGCCAGGGTGGGGAGGGGTCCCCAGAGGCCCTGGCACCCCGATAGTCGGGGGACATATCCCAGTGGATATGTCTCCCACAGCCGGAGCTCCACTGACAGGCCTTGTGAATGCACTCCCAGATGAAAAGGATGAGCCCCACCCTGGGGGATGCCCCCAGCCCCAGTCCTGTCAGTGGTTAACCCAGAGCCCCTCTCCAGAGACCCGGTGTCATGACTTCTCTGGCTCCTGCCTACCCACTTCCACCCAGAGCTTTAGCGTGCATGTGGAGTCATCTTTTAATTTTCTGCTTGGCTCGGTAGATTGCAGATGCTCTCTCCCCAGAGCTCTGGGCCTATGCACAGCTTCCATTTGTTATGTGGCTGTGATGCTCCCCTCTCTCCACTTTTCCCTGCTCAGCAAGCACCAAACTCCAACCTCCCCATCAAACAAGCTTCCAGACACTCAGAGTCTGTGTGGTCCCTACTCCTCTGCCCTCCTAATCCCAAGGTTCCCTCCTTAACCCCCAACCCTGAGACTCAGCAACGGGACAGCTCCTCAAGCCAAAAGGGGCGGAGAGGGAGCAGGAAGGGAGAGACTGGGAAATCAAAGCCGCGGCCCTCTCCACATCCGCCACCGCAATCACAGCACCCTCCAACCCAGAGCGGACAAAGCCCTTGTTGGAGCCAATGGCTCCAATGCCAGCCAGCCCCTTAGAGCAATGACAGCCATGTGCTACATTTGCCCAATTCTGCAGCTGGGCTGATTACCGTGGTTCCCAAGCTTAGGGTCCAGCCCCAAACCAAACAAATTAGGACAAAAACCACAGGCTTCTTCATTCCCCTCATTCCCAGCCAGCAATTGCTGCAGGACCCCTATAATTGATAACAATGCAATAAAAAGCCCACCACCTGTCCTTTATCTCGAGGATTTGGCAGCCTGGCCGACAGCTAAGCACATCCTTCAGTGGCCACAGCCACATGGAATTTAGCACCACCGCATCTCTAAATGCCGCATCACCCCAGGGACAACCTGAGACCTGTCGTATTCAAAGACGTGGCCCAGACTGGAAGAAGTACCACAGCTGAATGACGGGATAGGCAGCCTAAGAGCGGGGAGGACTTGGGGCTAGAAGTGCCCACCGTGATGGGCCAACCCATAGAGACTGGAGCTGACGCTGGTGCTGAGGACTGTGCAGCCAGCAGATGCAGGGGTGTGGTGGAGAGAATGGCAGGAGCCAGTGGCCCAGGCCCTCCAGATGCATTTGGGAGGAGGCCACAAGGAACATCACAGTGGCTGGGAATCACCTCCCAGCAGGCCATGTTCAGAAATGTTGGGAAGCAGGAGTTGGTGTCAATGAAGTCTGGCCATCTGTAGGATCCTGTAGCACTCTGGCTCTAGCATCAAGGTTCAGGAATAGAAATTAAAACAAAGATCCAGTGATGTGTGAGGTCTGGGTGCAAGGGAGGACCCAGGTACCTGGAAGGAGAAAGAGGCAAGGAAAGAGGTCCAGTCAGGGATAGAGAACCAGATTTCGAGCCCAGGTGATGTGGACCTATTCTCCAGCTGGAGTCTAAATTGAGAGGAAGCAGGTGCTTTGGAAGCTCTGGCCAGGAAACAGCAGGCACCCCACTGCCAATGCTGGACAATGGGGGAGAGAGCAACAGCCCAAGGTCACCTCAGGATGCAAGGATCGGTCAAATCCAGGTAAAGGAAACAGAGAACACTTTGGAACTGGATCCAAAGTGAGGGTCCTACCATGGCCACAAGAGCAGTTTTTCAGGAAGGTGCCAGAAGGGTTCACTTAAAGCAGTGGTACCAGGACCAGCAGCATCGCATCCCAATAATGTGTTAGAAATGCAGATGATCAAGCCTCACTCCAGTCCGCCTGAATCAAAAACTCAGGATGGGGCCCAGCAATCTGTGTTTTATCAGCATTCTAGGCAAGTCTGACTCTAAAGCTTAAAAACAAAGTGCCAGTTCTCAAGGGAGGCATTCTTTTATTCAAGCAGTTACTCTACCTGAAGAGTTTGCTAAAACCCAGATTGCTGGATCTCAGCCCAATCCCTGATTCAGGAGGCCTGGGAAGATTGGGGGTGAGACTGATAATTTGTATTTGTGACAAGTTCCCAGGTGAAGCTGCTGTTGCTGGTCCAAAGACCACACTTGGACATCCACCGATTTAAATATCTGGACACAAGATATAATCCTCAGGCTGAAAGATGGCTAGTCTCAAACCAAATTTCTGGGCCCAGAGGGCAAGAGGAAGGCTGAGGAGGAACAATTCCAGTGAGGCAGTTGTCTTAGTCTCTTCGGGCTGCTATCACAAAATAGCATAGACTGGCGGCTTAACAACAGAATTTATTCCTCAGAGTTCTGGAGGCTGGGAAGTCCAAGAGCAACATGTCAGCAGTTGTGCTGCATGATGAGGGCCACTTCCTATTCTACTGTAACCTCACATAGCAGAAGGGATGAGGGAGCTCCTCTGGTCTCTTTTATAAGGACACTAATCCCATTCATGAAGGCTCTGCCCTCATGACCTAATCACCTCCCAAAGACCTCTGTCTCCTATCATATTCATCAACATAAGAATTTGGGGGGAGGGGGGGATGCAAACATTTGATCTATAGAAGTGATGTTATGGACTAAAAGTTCGTGTCCTCCCAAATGTAATGTATTAAGAGACACGACCTGTGAGGAAGTAATAAAAGTTAAATTAGGTCATAGGATGTGGCCCTAATCCAAAAGGGCTGGTGCCTTTATAAGAAGACACCAGAGCTCTCTCTTTGCCACCTGAGGACACAGCAGGAAGGCAGCTGTCTGCCAGCCAAGAAGAGAGCCCTCACCAGGAACCAAACCGGTTGGCAGCTTGACCTCGGACTTCCCAGCCTTCAGAACTGTGAGAAATAAATTTGTGTTGTTTAAGCCACACAGTCTGAAGTATTTTGTTGTAGCAGCCTATGCAAACTAAGACAGCAGACTCAGGGACCAAACAACCTGATTTAATAGTGAAATTAAAATAATAGTAATAATAGAAAGGTCTTCATGTTTACCCCCCAAGGTGGCAACACAGATGACTCCCTTCTGGCCCCCAGCTCTTTCAGACCCACCTTCACCTTATAACTGATCCTTCTTTGTTTTCATGCCCAGACAATCCTAACAAGGGTGCCTTGAAAATTTCTTTCTGATCCCTGCTCCTCTCTCAAGTTACTGCCTGAGCCTTTAAGCAGCACTCTCTCCCTCTGCATCCATCTCCTCTCACCTCTGCCCTCAGCCCTGGCCTGGATTAATCATCCAAAACCATAGTTAGGAGAAGCAGGGATTGGGCAGATGAGGAGAGGACTGGCCCAGCCAGTGAGTCCCTGCAGAGATAGCAGCCACAGGTCAGGGAGGCTCAAAGATTTATTGGCTACTAAACTAGGCCAGAGAGGGTGGGCTAAGAAGGCAGCACATAATCAAAGTGATACTTTATGTTGCTCCATCTCAGGAAAATAATTGTTCCACTGGAACATCATTACACTATCATTTTTCTATTCCTGTGCCACTTTCAGGGCAATAGAAACTCACTTTCTTCTTCATAGTAAGCTGCAATTTCAATAACTCAAAAGGCCTTTTCTGAGATGGAGCCATTCTCCTACCCCCACCTCATCCTCTGATGATGTAGGGGAGGACAGGTGCCTCTTCCAGACTCTAGGCTGGGAGAAAGGCCTCACTGGTTCCTGAGCACAGCTGTCCCTTCTTAGTGTTCTTCCTGCCTGTCACTCAGGTGACCAACTGTCCTAGTTGTGTCCCAGGAGGCTGAACTTTCAGTGCTAAAACCAGGCTAATACAAGGAAAACCAGGACAGTTTGTCACCCTACTGCCACCAGCTGGGGACAAGGGAGCAGCCCATCATTCATGCATTTAACAAGGATTTGTTAAATACCTACAATGTTCCAGGCACTTTTCAGGTGCTAGGAAGTAGCAGGTTACAAAGCAGGCCAAAACGTTGCCTGAGCTAGGTGTGGTAGCTCATGCCTTGTAATCCCAGTGCTTTCGGAGGCAGAGGTGGGAGGATCACTTGAGGTTGAGAGTTTGAGATCAGCCTGGACAACATAGTGAGACCCCAGTCTACAAAAAAAATTTAGAAAATTAGCCAGGCACGGTGGCTTGCACCTGTAGTTCCAGCTGCTTGAAGTGGGAAGATCACTTGAGCCCAGGAGGTCCAGGCCACAGTGAGCTATGATCATACCACTGCACTGCAGCCCAGGTGATAGAGTGAGATCCTGTCTCAAAAAACAAAAAACAAAAAAAAAAGGAGAAGAAGAAGAAGCAAAAAAACAAGTTTGCCCTCAGAGACCTTACATTCTAGTGGATGGAGCAAGCAATACACATGATACATAAGCGCATTGTATGATGTACTAGAAAATGACAAGTGCTGTGAAGAAACATGAAAGGGCAAGGAAGGTTGGTAATGAAGGGCAGAGGATGCAATTTTAAATAGGGTGGTCAGGGTAGGCCTCACTAAGAAGGTGGCATTTGAGCAGAAGTTTGAGGGAGGAGAAGGAAGAAGTCCTGAGATACCTGGGGGAAGGGCATTCCAGGCAGAGTGCTCTGCCAGTGCCGAGGTTCAGAGGCAGAGCTTGACTTGCATATTCAAAGAGCCCCACAGGGAGGTCTGTGGGGCTGGAACACAGTGAGCAAAGAACAAGCAAAGGGGAGAAAAGCACCAAAGTAGTCAGAGAGGTCAAGTTATGTAGGGGCTCTGTAGACCCTTGTAGGGTCCTTCGATGTTTTTTACCTGGAATGAGATGGAGGCAGGGACATGATTCAATTTATGTCCTAACAGAGTCACTGTGGCTGCTGTGTTCAGAATAGATGACGTGGGGAGAGAGGGAGAGCACAGAGGCTGGAAGAGCAGCCAGGAGGCTATAGCAAGGGCACAAATAGGCAAGGATGGTCCCATAGGCCAAGATGGTCACAGTGTAGGGAGTGACGAAAGCTGGATTCTGGTAGAGCTGACAGGCTTTCCTGATGGGGCTTGGGTAAAAGGCGTGAGAAAAATAAGAAGAATCAGCATGGCTTCCAGTACTTGAAGCCAGAGAGGCGAGTATTAAATCCTCAGAATAAATTATATCCATTTCTAAGACCCATACTACCCCAAAGGACGTGCACTTGAGATATTCCTGGATTTAAGTTAGAGACTAAGATGCACTTCAAATAGGATCGTTAAAACTCTGGAGTGTGGCCTTTACATGCAGAATAGATTTTCATTCATTCCTGGGCCTGGAGTGGGTGGATAACATGGCCACACAGGTCAGCTCTTTAGCCTGGTGACTCCAGATAGCCCATTAGTTAAGAAGGTCGGACCTGCTCTTAAACTCTCTGGAACTCAGTTTTCCAGTGATTGGTGTGAGAATTAAACAGGATCATCCTCATAAAACACTTAGCACAGAGCCGAAAACTTAGAAAGCGCCTCATTCCTGGTGGAGTTAACACCCACTGATGATACTCTTAGAACGCATGGTGTTGAAGCTGACAGTGACCAGCAGAGGACACCATCAGTAGAAGACGGTGGAGCTGCACTGCTGGGGAGACTGGCTTGGCTCCAACTAGCTTCGCACAAATGAGGGATTGGGATTCACAGTTTTCCTCTCTCCTCTTTCTCCTCACTCCTTTTTGCTGAATTTTAAATTTCCTCTGGATTCTCCCCCTCATTGGAGAGATCTCCTGCTGTGCAAAATGGGTCTTCTGGTTTGAGGTCTCCCCTGCTCAAAACAGCCCCAAAGCCCTGGCATTAGGGGAAAATAACGTAACCATCTCCAGCATCAGTCAGCTCTTACCTCTGCCCCAAAGCCCTGCAAGATACCCAGAGACTGGATGACTCTTCCAGTACCCTGGGCATGGGAGGATGGAGACAAGCGAAGATAAGGTTTGTCCAATTTGTTCTGGTCCCAGGAAATTCTGCTTCTTATCTCCTCTCCCATTGCCTCATCACATTGCCAAAATTACCTCGATAATATAATTCTTAATTTAAGAATTCATTTTCACTTCAAGAAAGAGGAACACTGCAGCCAGATAAGAAACTCCATCTGTCTTCAAGAAAAAGGGTCGTGGATTTGGGTGTCACGAATCCTGTAATATCTTAAATTAAGGTGCCACTTCTGAATGCTTTCTTCATATTTATCAAATGATTATTCTACAGAGGTGAATTTAATATTGTTAAAATAATGATCATGCATGTTTAATACATCAATTTAAGTTATTATCTCCCATGCTATAAAATGCAGGATAATTTCATAAATAATTATAAAGCATTTACAAATGTCGACTTAATGCAAAGCGTTCTTGCTAATCCTTTATCTTTCACAAACACAGAAATAACGATTAGATTCATGGAATGAAAAAGGGAGGTTATGTTCTACAATGTGTCACCTCCTCACTGAATGCAAATAAGAAGGCCAAAAAAAAAAAAAAAGAAAGAAAGAAAGACAGACCTGGATTGAAACAGTGCTTCTTTCCTCTTTCTTGATAGATGGAAGATGCCTGTCCACAGTGTCATTATTCCAGGCTCAGGGACCCTTTCTCTGCAGAGACTGGGGATGGGGCATTGACTCAGATAAGAAGAATTCTTTGAACCTCTTTTGAGGAAGGCTATTTCTGCTTTCTGCTGTTGCCTTTGGGGAAATAGAGAAGTGCAGTACAGAGGCCTGGCCATGTGGTTAGACTAAGAAGCACTTTTCTCCATGCACCTGACATTCTCACAACACATACATAGGCAAAGGATGGACAGGATAACCCTAGATTCCTGCCAGTATGATCCAGACCTTCAACCCTTCCAGAGGATGAATGGAGTTAAAAGTCACTAGGAGTCAAAAAAGATTTTTTTTTAAAAAAGCACCATACATATTCATTCTTCAGTCTGCCTGTGAATAACACAGAATTAGAAAGACAAGGGATGCCCTCAAAGAGCTTACACCCTAGATGGGGAGTCTGAATATTCACGTTCGAAACAATTCGGTACTACTTACAGGACAGGATAGAACTGCAGTTAAATTAGCTCTATTAAAATTAGGTTGATGTTAAGTTAATCAAGGAAGGTTTCTTGGAAGACGTAAATTGGAGCCAGGTCAGATCAATGAAATCAAATAAATCAAAGATAGGCTGAAGATACTGAGACAATACATGGTTCCCTTCACACACACACACACACACACACACACACACACACACAAACATACATACGTACATATATGCGGGGAGCACCTGCCGTGCACCTAAAGCAACTAGTGATTCCAGCAAAAGGGGTTCCTAACCAGCTCATGGGTCATCTTGCTGCTGATCCAAGCCTAGCTCTGCAAAAACAAACAGCTTCCTAATTTCAGCGACTGTGTTTAAAGCTGAGATATGGAAAAACAAAATAGGAGAGGAAAAACCTTAAAGGTTCCAACGCTGGTCTATCAGCTTCCTGTCACAGTCTATTGCCACTATTCACACACCAGCAGGTCCAAAGTGAATCCCAGCTGTTGACTGATGCTTCAAATCTGGGGAAGAGATGCGGCAGGGGGAGCTGATCAAGAATAGACCATCAATCAGAGGACCAGCAAGTTGGGTTGTATGAAGCTGCAGCCCTAAAGAGGAAGCTGCTTACAGTTCCTGAGTGGGCAGGGGGGCAGGCTCCCACTACAGGTCAGAGGTAAGGCCCTCAAAGAAGCCACAGGGCATCTCCTTCAACCCTGTCAGTCCCACAGCAAAGCAGGGAAAGTCATGGGACAAGGCAGCCTGAATCCTTATAGCTGACCAAGTTCCTGATCCCTCCCCTGCAAAAGATGGCCACGAATTCATCACTAGAAACCAATGCTAATCGCACCTTACTCCTCCCCTACCTGCACCCCCACCTGTTCCACCAGCTCCATAGCTTCCTCTCTTCACGGACTTGCCAGGTTCTCAACACTCGGTTCTAGTCCCAGCTCTGGGAACAAGTTGCTAGGTGATACGCCATAGGCAAAAAAAGTTAACTTCTCTGGCTCTCACATATGTCTCTCATCCTGTGTCTCTCCCTCCCTCCTAAATATGTCCTCTGTCCTGTAGTCACAGCAAAATCAACTTACCTCATAATGAACCCATGAAAACAGGATATTTACATAGCCTCAAAGCATCTCCTCTCAAAATAGATATCAACTACTTGGGGATTTTAACATATCTCCATAAATTCTTTACTACGCTTTCCTCCAGGAGTGGGAGTTTAATTTCCATCCCATTGAGTATGGGATGGACTTAGTGACTGGCGTCTAAACAAACAGAAGAAGGAAAAGGAAAATAGTAACTTTTCAGTGGAGGATCCAGACATGGTAAAGTATGCAACTTTCCTTTCTTTTTTTTTTTTAATTATACTTTAAGTTCTGGGATACATGTGCAGAACGTGCAGGTTTGTTACATAGGTATACATGTGCCATGGTGGTTTGCTCCACCTGTCAACCCGTCATCTAGGTTTTAAGCCCTGCATGCATTAGGTATTTGTCCTAATGCTCTCCCTTCCCTTTGCCCCCACCCCCCAACAGGCCCCAGTGTATGATGTTCCCCTCCCTGTGTCCATGTGTTCTCAGTGTTCAACTCCCACTTATGAGTTAGAACATGCGGTGTTTGGTTTTCTGTTCTTGTGTTAGTTTTCTGAGAACAATGGCTTCCAGCTTCGTCCACGTCCCTGCAAAGGACATGATCTCATTCTTTTTTTATGGCTGAAATATGCAGCTTTTCTAAAGCAAGAAATCTTTTCTAGTTTATCTAGATAATAAAGTACATCTTAGGCAGGAATGCTAGATTATTCTGGAAAATTAGGCTGAATCTATCCCAAGAGAGAACCTTGCAGAGCTGGCTTCTGCAGTCATGTCATGTGGATGTCATGTGTCTCCTGATATGATAGAATGAGAAGGGCACTTCACCTCTGTCATATTCTTCCTAAAAACTCATCACCTCACTCAGATCATAAGAAGACAACGGACAAGCCCAAACTAGGGACAGTCTACAAACTATCTGATTGGTGTTCCTCTGAACTGTCAAGATCATGAAAAACAAGGGAAGGTTGAGAACTGTCATAAACCAGAGGAGATGAAGGATGACTAAATGTAACATGGTATCCTGAATTGGATCCTGGAACAGGAAAAAAACATTAGTGAGAGTACTAGAGAAATTAGCAGAAAGTCTAGAGTTTACATAATGGTATTGTACCAATGTTAATTTCTTCATTTTGATAAATATATCATGGTTCTGCAAGATAGAAACCTTAGGGGAAGCTGGATGAAGGGTGCATTGTAAGACTGTCTTTGCAACTTTCTGTAAATCTAACATTATTTCAAAATAAATTTTTGATTTTTAAAAAGAACTTATTGTTTTGCTTCCTCCTCATCAAAATAAAAAATGAAAAAAACCCTCCCCACCCTAAAATTATTGTTGATGCTGGTTTATTTCACAAAGTCAGCACTTGGAGTTATTTCCCTTTCCCCAACACAGCAGGCTCCCCCTGTCCTCTGGAGCTGAGCTCCTCCTGGCCCTCCTAGCTGTGGGCCTCCCTCTTAGCTGCCTTCCTGTTGACCCCACTATGCCGCCTTTTGAGGCCAGCCCCAGGCTCACCTCAGTGGCTCTCTCACAGTCCGCACTCCCTCCGATGGCTCTCTGGGCATTTGTTGTCCACACTACTTATTAGGATCTCAATAACCAGAGAGTATTTTTGCAGGATTAACCCCCACCTTGGAAACATCCACCACACACCCTGCATGCTGCTTGCCCCACCAACCCCTCAAATGTTGCTCACCCCCAGCCCTGGGCTAAAACAGAGCAACAGTGCCTCCTGGTGACCAATGTGGAAATCTGTCTAACTCAGCGTCTCCTCCACATTCCCTAAGCTCCCTTCAGAGCCTGGGCTTCCAGACCTCTGTCCCACACTCCTTCTCAGCAATCACCCCTCATGGCTCAGTTAATTTCACCCTGGACAATCTCATTCCCACATAAATATACATCCTTGTCCGTGCTGGTTTTCTCCCCCCTCTCTCTCCTGTCCAAACAGCCCACCATTTCTTTATTATTTTTGTTACATGTGTGAACAAACTAACACCCTTACCTGAGACCAATAAGAGCTGGCCTCCTTCTATAGCAAAAGGGGAGCGGGAGGAGCAGCCATGAGTTCTGAGCAGAACTTAGATCAAATAGAGAATCAGTCCCATCGACTTCTAAAACCCTGGAAAATACTCAGAAATTCCATTCCGATTTTCCATTAGTCTCTCTCTACTTGCTCATCCTTTTGTAACCATTTTTCTTCAAAACTCCAATATTCTAAATGAAAAATTTTACCTATTTTTATTCAATACTATCATACTTCTCTTCTAATTACTAGCCTTGCAAGAATATTGTTTTCTACTATTTTTCATGGCAAATGCACAGTGTTTAATCTATACTATGGGTTAAATAGGTTTCTGGCAGCCAGCCCAGGAGGCTTGCCAGCACTGATATCCTTGTTGTTATGGGAAAAAGCTTCAGACAACTAACTCAAATGAATTTTTGGAACTAAACCTATTTATAAGTCAGGAACTGCCTGTACTGCCTTGGATGGTTATTTGATTGGTGCGGGGATGTACGTCTTTCTTGTTTCCCAAATGAATTCATTCAATGTGCAACAAATACATATTAAGGTCTATTACAAGCAGGGCCTACACGAGGCCCAGGGGATGCCGTGGTACACAGGACCCAGTTTAGTTTCTGTCCTCACATTCTAGTGAAGGAGATGGTCAGGAAAGCAGGAAAGTCCACAACCAGATGCAATGGGATATGTATCCATCGGGGTTCATCAGAAAAACAGAACAAATACAGATAGATAGATCTTAAGGAACTGGTCCATGCAATTGTCAGGGCTGACAAGTCTCAAATCTGTAGGTCAGGCCAGCAGTCAGAAACTCAGGTACGATTTCTATGTTTCAGTATTGATCCAGAATTCCTTCTTCAGGAAACCTCAGTCTTTGCTCTTAAGACCTTCAGTGGATGAGGCCCACCCACATTATGGAGGGTAATCTGCTTTATTCAGTGTATTGGTTGTCAATCTAAAAATAATCTTCACAGGCCGGGTGTGGTGGCTCACGCCTATAATCCCAAAACTTTCAGAGGCTGAGGCAGGTGGATCGCTTGAGGTCAGGAGTTCGAGACCAGCCTGGCCAATGTGATGAAACCCCATCTCTACTAAATATACAAAAATTAGCTGGGTATGGTGGCATGCACCTGTAATCCCAGCTACTTGGGAGGCTAAGGCAGGAGAATTGCTTCAACCCGGGAGGCGGAGGTTGCCATGAGCCGAGATCACACCATTGCACTCCAGCCTAGGCAATAGAGCAAAACTCTGCCTCAAAAAATAAAAGTAAAAATAAAAATAATCTTCAGAACAGTATCTAGACTTGTATTTGACTAAACAACTGGGTATCGTAGCCTAGCCAAGTTAACACATACAATTAACCATCACATGATAGAAGCTTAGTAAGCCTCAGAGCCCAGAGAAGGTGACTCCTAACCCAGTACGTGTGTGTGTGTGTGTTGGGGGATGGGGTATAATGTATAAGCTGGAGCCTGAAATAGGCTTTAGCTAATAAATGGTAGCAGGGAGAACTAGCACATCCTTTCACATCCCTGGGTGGCCCGTTTGTGACAGGCTCATAGAATACTATGCTATATTTTACTCAGCCCCACTCTGCAAGGTGAACATGCCCCCCACTGCCTCAAGATCCTAGGAGGGGTCACAGCCTGCCTGTCTGCTCTGATTGCTATCGGCAAGTTCAGCCTTGATCCCTGGGGCATTGGTGTCAGGCCAATCACCCAACTGGACAACGGAGGAATGAACATCTCCCCCTTCCTCTCCTTCAGTGGGACTGGGGACTCCTTCCTGGCATCCACTTCACGTTCACATTCAAGAATGTGAATCTCTCCATTTGACCCCTTGTGAACCCAGTCCAGACCAGCCCCATGTGCACCAGCCTGCCTGGTGGCCCCCTGGCTGCCTCCTAGCCCTGAGGACCCCTCCCTGCCTGCCCCTGGCAGAGGGTGTGTGTGAGCATCTGGTGCTGCTGCCTGAGCAGTCCATCAGCCTTCACACCGCTGTCACCAGGAGACGTGGTGGAACGAAAACAAAAGACGTGACAAATTTGTCCTTTTCTCTTTATAATTAACCAAAATATCACAGCATGTAGCAAAGCACGGCTCCTAATTAACAGACAGTCGAGAGGCGATTAAGAAAAAAAGCTGTAGTCCCTTCTCATCACCCCTCCCACATGCGCTCCCACCTCCCCATGTGGCAGCCCACCCCCCACCCCCGTACACTCAGCCCGCCTCCCCTACCCCATAATTATATTTGCAGGAGAGAATGATATTCTGGTCAGACACGACAGACAGAAAGAGCCCAGTCCCCAGTGAGGCAATTAATATTTCACACCTGCCAAAGCAAAGTGGCAACTGCAAGGGGAGGAAGAGACGCTGGAAGGCGACTCGCATTGCCACCAGGCCGGGGTTTGCAAAAGCCAAGTAAGGATCGTCCTTCTGTTGGGCTGCAGGAATGGGCAGGCCAGGCTGGCACAGAAAACAACTCTTTAGGGTCTGCATAGAGATGGGGCAGGGGAAGTCATTGAACAGAACAAAGAATCTGCGACTGTATGTGCTCCTACTTTGTTCCCTAACTCCCAGCTCACTTCCACACTCTGCACACATTCCCAGCCCTACTGAGAATGTAGCATGTGCAACCCTAAGGGGTTGAGGTACAAGCGAATGCAGAGCAAGTGGGCACAAAACACCCACCTGCAACCCCACCCCAGCCCTCACTCCCACTGATTTGTATGCCGCCAGTCCTGCCTACCACCCACAGACCCTCACGCCGTCTCCAGTGCTCCCTATTGGAGCACATACAGTGCACACACTCATGCTTTTACACACTCACACTTTTACACACTCCCATACAACCATCTCCAAGTCAAACAATCAAGTAAGAGTTACTGGCTACTTATTAGGGTCAAGTTCTTGGAACTGAGACCTTGAGAATCTAGCATTAGTTCTGGAAATAGAACTGCCTGAGATTTTATACAGAGGAACTAACAATACAGAGCCCTGATTGGTAAGGGACACTTGTGTGGTCTAGTAGCTTCCTAGCATGCATCGAGAACTTACCAATTGTCAGTCGTGCTCACCAGCCACTTCACATGCCTACAAAACTAGTAAAGGACAGATCAGACCATTGTGTTTTACATTTAAGAAATCTGAGACTCCTGAAGGTTAGGCATCTTACCCAAGTTAGGAAGTTAACGAAGCTGGGATTTAAACTCAGTTCTGTTTGATGCAAAATGTGTGTTGCTTATTCCCAACAGCCAAAAGCTGGAACAACCCAAGTGTTCCACCACGGATAGATGAATAGATAAACAAAATGGGGCATATACATACAATGGAATATTATTCAGCCTTAAAAAAGAATGAAATTATCATATATACTACAATAGAGATGAACAGGGCATTACACCCAGTGAAATAAGCCAGTCACAAAAGGAGAAATACTGTATAGCACTGTATATTGCTTAGATGGGGTACCTAGAGTAGCAAATTTGTAAGGACAAAGTAGAATGGTGCTTACCAGTGGCTGTAGGGAGGAGGGGATGGGGAGTTACTGTTTAATGGGTATAAAGTTACAGTTTGGCAAGATGAAAAGAGTTCTAGAGATGGATAGTGGTGATGGCTACACAATAGTGTCAAAGTACTTAAAGCCAAAGAACTGTAGATGGCAAATTGTATGTGTTTTATCACAATGTTTAATAAAACTTGTGTTGCTAACTATCATGCCAAGGGAACAGAGAAGGAAGAAAGATTCCTGTGTGCTTGGTGACCAGAGAAAGCTGCTTGGAGGTGAGATTTGAATGGGACCTTAAAGAGTGGGGGAATTTGAATGAAAGGAGTAAGGGTGGACAAGGTGGCAAAATAAACAAAATGCAAGAGAGACATTGGTGTCTACTTGGAGGATGGAATCTGTGGAGACTGTTTCAATCAAGGGAAAATAATTTTCTTTTTAAATTGAGATGGAGTCATGCTAGAGCTGGAGTGCAGTGGTGCGATCTCAGCTCACCACAACCTCCATCTCCCGGGTTCAAACAATTTTTGTGCCTCAGCCTCCTGAGAAGCTGGGACTACAGGTGTGCACCACCACGCCTGGCTAACTTTTTTGTATTTTTAGTAGAGATGGGGTTTTGCCATGTTAGCCAGGCTGGTCTCGAACTCCTGACCTCAGGTGATCTACCCACCTTGGCCTCCCAAAGTGTTGGGATTACAGGCATGAGCCAACATTCCCAGCCCAGGGAAAACAATTGTATCACAGATGGTTCCAGCAGGGATTCCTGAATCGGATGAGAGGCTGGATTAGGTGCCATTCGGATATCTTCCAGAGCGAAGAGTTTAAGATTCCACAACAACTGAGCCCTCTCTGAAAATGGAAGTGGGTAAATGAGTCTGCTTGAAGTGCAGGGGACCTGAGGAGGAACAAGGCCACCAAGGCTAGAAAAGAGAAGTAGGAGTGGGTGAGGAGAGCTTAGCCGAGGCTAAGCTGAAGAGCTTGGATTGTGTCTCTAAGCAATGGCAAGCCCTTGCAGGGCCTGAGCAGGGAGTGGCTGATGACCTGTGGCTTGAGGAGACGCTCCTACAGAGAAGGAGGAGAAGATGGCGGGGAGTGGAGTAGGAATTGGAGCGTGAAAAGGAAGGCAGCCTCACCCAGGAAGGCGCAGTGCTCCTGAGGCTACACTGGACAAAAGGGAGGCCAAAAGAGACTCCAAGGCTTTACTCATGGACAAACAAGAAAGTGGCAGCACCAGGGACACTATCACCTTGAAACAAAGGTGCACAAATAATGGAAGCTGTGTTTCACCTTGGACTGCAGTCCAGCCCAAGTCCCCCAGTCAGGAATGATGACAATCACCCCTTACGCTGGCAAGCCTTGTTGATTCTGCCTCCAACACATGTCTCAACCTCATGCCTTCTCTCTAACTCCACTGCCACCACCCCTGTCCAAGGCACAGCCCCTCTGCTTCCCTGTCGCTACATTGAGGTATAGATGAGTACATCATCATCCCCAATTGACTGGGAAAGTAACTCTAGTAAGTGATATTACTCATTTAAAAGATCACACAACTATTACTGATGGACTCTATTCAGAAATCTGAGTCTCCTCTTTCAAAATCAGAGCAGTTCTGGGGTCCAAGGACCTGTTCAAATGTTAGCCATCATCCATTCTCAGGGAGCTTACAATTAATTGTACCTTTTCGTGGCCCAGACTCATAGCTGGAATCTCAGTGTGCCCCTTTGCACAGTGAGGCCATGAGATCAGGATCCCATTAGTTAATAAGCCTCATGGATCTGCATAATGGCTATACATTCCTTCATTTATTCACTTCTTCCATTTGTTCATTCATTCATTCATTCAAAAGTAAACATTGAACAGATCCCATGAGCCAGGCATTGTGCTAGGCTCTGGAGATAGAGTCCTGAACATGACATACAAGGTCTGCTCTCATAGAGCTTATATTCTAGTGGGTGGGAGGCTGGAAGAGAAACTAGAAAGAGGCCATGCTGTAGTAGAGGCAGGAGAGGAAAATGGCTTGGATTAGGGAGGTGGTTGTGGAGATAGAGAGAGAATGAATGTAAGTTATGTATCGGAGGTAGAATCAGCAGGGCTTGCTGATAGATTGGATGTTAGAGCCAGAGGAAGAGACGGGGAGAGGAGAGTAACTCTTATTATGAGAATTAGAAGAGTCGGGCACAGTGGCTCATGCCTGTAATCCAAACACTTTGGGGAACCGAGGTGGGAGGATCACTTGAGCCCAGGAGTTTAAGACCTGTCTGGGCAATATAGTGCGACCTCGTCTCTAATTAAAAAGAGAAAAAAAAATTTAAGAGAATTAGAAGCAACACATGTAAGGTGGGCAGCATAGTACCGAGCACACAGTGGTGTTCAAAGATGGTTACTTCACGTATTATGAACACTGAGGGGATTAGAAATTAATCACAGAGCGGTTTCTACAAGGGAGGACAGAGGGGAAGAGTAATGGAGAAAGATTTCTGGAAGACGTGAATTCTCAGCCAAGTGTAAAGCAGGGGAGGGAAGTGGATTGACATGGGGGTGGAAGAGGAGGGTGTCAGGAATTTCTGGTGGGAGGCAGGAAGGAATAGACCAAACATTGGCTTGAATGGGGGAACTGTGAGTCATCAGACTTCAGAATCAATTAGGGTTGTGTGTATGAAGATTCTGCTTATAAAAAAGAACACTTGACCCTTGAACAATGAGGGATTTAGGGGCGCCAATTCCCCCACAATTCAAAATCCATAGAAAAGACTACACATTGGGTACAGTGTACACTGCTTGGGTGATGGGTGCACCAAAATCTCAGAAATCCCCACTAAAGAACTTATTCGTGTACTCAAACACCACCTGTTCCCCAAAAACCTATTGAAATAAAAAAAATTCATATATAACTTTTGACTCCTCAAAACTTAACTACTAACAGTCTACTGTTGACCAGAAGCCTTACCAATAGTCTATTAACACATATTTTGTATATGTATGATGTACTGCATTCATACAATAAAGTAAGCTAGAGAAAAGAAAATCATGAGGAAGAGAAAATACATTTACTATTTATTAGGCGGAAGTGGATCATCATAAAGGTCTGCATCCTTGTCATCTTCATGCTGAGTAGGCCAAGGAGGAGGAGGAAGAGAAGAGATTGGTCTTGCTGTCTCAGGGCGGCAGGGGTGGGAAAAAGTCCTTGAATAAGTGGACTTGTGCAGTTCCAACCAGCTGTAATATGTACGTAAGATTTTACTGAATCCAGATCCTAAAACGAATTCCTATCTCCTCTTCAGATCCACAAGCCTAGATTGGGAGATGACTTCCTCCACTCACAGAGTCCCCATTTCTGTGCACCTAAAGGAGGAAATGAAAGCTCTGAGACGCTGAGGGGTGAAGGCCCTGGACCAGGCCGGCGGGGCTGGCACCCTGAGCCACCTCAGCACACCTACAGCCTGCAGGCTCCTGAGTATCTTCTAAGAAAATAGCCCCCAACCCAGTGTCCATGCTGGGTTCCTCTTCTAGCAACTGCTGCCCCAGACAATCTCCCCTTTATTTTCAATCCCCACTCTCCACTGAGGCTGTGTCCTCCAACCTGCACAGACTTCAGATGAATGGCCTGGCCCCTGGCACACACAGAACCCCCAAACCCGACACTGGCCCACCCTCCTGCATGCTGCCGTCTGTGTGGGCAACAAAAGCCCAGCCTCCATGAGGGGCATGGGGCAGAAGCCGGAAGCAGCTCCTCCAGCAGGGGGGCCCTGCCGTCCCCGGTCTCATGCCATCTACTCCTGATTTTCTCAGTGTGGCTGAAGACTCCGGGGTTCCCCGAGACACTTTCAGGGGACCATGAGATCAAAATATGTTTATGATAATACTAACACATGATTTGTCCTTTTCATGGTGCTGACATTTGCACTGGGGATGCAAAGGCATTGGTGGGTGAAACTGTTGACACCCACATCAACCAAGTGAGAGTACGAAGTCTGATAATAGTCATTTTATTTTCTCGTCACTACACCCTCACAGTTTTTTTAAAAGCCATTTTTATTTATGAATATTCTTTACGAAGCAGTAGCAATCACTAATTTTATTCCATCTCAACCCTTGAGTACACATCTTTTTAATATTCTGTGTGACTACCTTAGAAGTACACACACGGCGTTTTTGCTGAAACGTGATGCTTGTCTCACAGAAGAAACGCTTGTGCAATTGTTTGAGCTTTGAGCTGAGCTAGCCACTCCTTTCACAGAACACCATTCTTACCTGAAAAAACAACTGACATGCCACAGTTATTAATACTTGTGTTTTTGGTAGAAATTGTCTTGAAAATGAACAAAGTGAGCCTGTCACTTTAAGCAAAACGATTGACAGATTTGTGGCCAACGATAACATTTGAGCTCTCACATGAAAATTAGAATTTTGGAAAATTTGTGTTCACCACCATGAACTTGATAGCATCCCAATACTTAAGATCTTTCCTGATGAGGTCAGTGGTAATAGTAACAAATCTGTCTTGGCTTTTTAAAAAAAAATTTGTATAATGAAATGTGTCAACATTTGGAAGATCTTCATAACTCAGTGAAATAATACTTTCCAAATGTCCAATGCATGATTTACACATGGATAAAGGAATCATTGGAAGCTGTAAAACCACCAGTGTATTTTCATGCATTTCATACAGTACATAAAATCAAGTGTAAAATGTTCGTCGATATGGTTTCAAATTCCACATTGTAAATAATCTTTAAGAAACTACCATTTATTGAGTTTAAGTGTAGTATCAAAGATAAATAGCCACAATTATCTGAAACAACTATTAAAAAATCCTACCTTTTGCAACTACATATCTGGATGAGGCCAGATTTTCTTCCCATATTTCAACCAAAACAACATATCCCAACAGACTGATTGCAAAAGCAGGTGGTGGGAAAATTCTGCCAGACATTAGAGAGATTTGTAAAGATGTATAACAATGCCACTCATCTCACTGATGTTCTTTTGTTTTGGAAAATGTTACTTTTCATAAAAATATGTTATTTATATTAGTATCTAATATGTTTACTATTTTCTTTTATTTTTGAGACAGGATCTCACTGTGTCACCCAGGCTGGAGTGCAATGGTGCAATCACAACCCACTGCAGTCTCAGCCTCCTGGGTTCAAGCAATTCTTCCACCTCAACCTCCTGAGTAGCTGAAACTACAGTGCATGCTACCAGCTAATTTTTGTATGTTTTGTAGAGATGAAGTCTTATCATGTTGCCCAGGCTTGTCTCGAAATCCTGGGCTCACATGATTCTCCCACCTCAGCCTCCCAAAGTGCTGGGATTACAGACGTGAGCCACCGTGCCCAGCAATTTTACTTTTTATTTTTTTAGTGATAGGGTCTTGCTCTATCACCCAAGTTGAAGTGCACTGGCAAGATCATGGCTCACTGCAACCTCAAACTCTTGGGCCCAAGCAATTCTCCTGCCTCAGCCTCCCGAGTACCTGGGATTACAAGCATGCTCTGCCATGGCTAGTTTTTTCCATTTTTTGTGGAGACACGGTCTCACTATGTTGCCCAGGCTGGTCTCTAACTCCTGGCCTCAAGTGATCCTCCTGCCTTGGCCTGTTTGTTTATTTATTTATTTTATTTTATTTATTTATTTATTTTTTGAGATGGAGTCTCTCTCTGTCGCCCAGGCTGGAGTACAGTGGTGCGATCTCGGCTCACAGCAAGCTCCGCCTCCCAGGTTCACGCCATTCTCCTGCCTCAGCCTCCCGAGTAGCTGGGACTACAGGCGCTGGCCACTATGCTCCACTAATTTTTTTTTTTTTTTTTTTTGTATTTTTTAGTAGAGATGGGGTTTCACCGTATTAGCCAGAATGTTATTTTTAAATTAATTGAAAATAAGTATTTAAAATTTTGTTGTCTTAATGTCTAATACAGAAAATACTGTTTGAAATTCAACCCAATTAACGAAAGCTCTTTGGGGTCCTTCATAATTTTTAAGACTGTAAAGGGATCTTGAGACCAAAAGTTTGAGAGTCCCTGCTGTAGCTCACTGTTCCTCACCACTATCTCCTTTTTTGGGGCTGGAGCCCTAATGTTTCTCCTGTGTCCAAGTCCCAGGGTTAAGTTTCTGAACCACAATGCCAGGCCCAGACTACTCCAGCCCCCTCCAGGGATTCCATTTTGGGGTGGCCCATGAGAGCTTCAGACTGCTGTGTGTCCCACTGTCCTTACCACCTGCCCCTGCCCACATAGACACACATGCACATACACACCGAACAATTGGTCCTATATGGAGTGAAAATCAATGTCTTCCTAGTGGCAGCATTTTCATCCTGGGCAAATCAACCTTTTAGGGCTTATCTTCCTCACCAATAATACATGGTTGTTAATACTAAAGTCATCCTCGTTGGGCTGTTGTGAGATTTAAATGAGACTTTGGGTGTGTACTAGATATTCTGCATCTGCCAATCTCCTCTCCTCCCTTCCCCACCCTGCTCTGTGCTCCTGGAGGCTTCCAACTGGGTCTTCCAGGAGACTCCAGAGGAAGAAGATGAGAGGGCTGATCACCCTGCTGCATGCATGCATGTGTACACATGCGTGCACACACACATGCACACACACGTGCACACACACATGCACACACAGTTTGGCAATGCATCTAAGGGTTGGACAGCCCCGGTCTCATGCAGAGTAACTCCTCCTTCCCTGGTCCCAGCATGCCCAGGGATGGAACTTTGCTCTCGCCAAGGTGCCTTACCCCACTTGTTGGTTTCCTTTAATAGCCACACCTTTGTAAATAGCACTCCCTTAAATTATCCTCAATGGACTTGTCTGAGTATGTCATTTCTTTCCTGCAGCAACCTTGACTATATAGGGTGTGTAATATTATAATCTTGGATGTGTCTGTACCAAAGAAAGACCTGTTTCTTTCTGATTTAATGTCTTCTATGACCACTGGGCACCCCCACTTCTGAGGGATGCAGGAGAAGATGGGGATTTTATTCCACTCGGCGCAGTTTATTCTTAGCACCACTTACGTTCAAGGAACTATTCAGAGAGTTTGCAAAGATGCCCAAGGAATAATTCCTGCCCTGAAAGGGAACAAATGAACATCCTGCGCTTTCCCATCTTTGTGCCTTTGCTCACAGTGTTCCCCTCACCCTGAATGTTCTCTTTCCATCAGTCTAAACCCTCCACTATTACCTTCTTAAGAAACCATTCCATATCCCCAAACCATAAATAAAGCCTTTCTCCCCCAAACACTTCTTTTAAAGCACTTATCTGTTTTTAGTTTGTATTATTCAGTTTGGTTCAACACACATTTACCTGGTGCTTATTTTATGCCAAGCCCTAGGCCAGATGCTGAGAAGTGCAAGGAAAAATATTACACAGTTTCCCCCCTAAGGGAGCTCACTCTCTAGCTGGGGAGACAGAAACATAAATACTTACGATGCAAAGGGAGAGAGGTCGTAACAGAAGTTTGTACAGAACTCTACAGGTTTTAGTTAAGGGAAACACTGTGGAAGCATCTATATAAATGTGGGGCAATCAAGAATATTAGAAGGATGGCACTACACTGTCAGGTGTAGGTTAGGGGAGGCTGGAAGCTTCAGCCTAACAGAAGTCCAGCACACAGGCACATCCGACATGGCACAGAGCATACAAGCAACCATTGGGCAAGCATGAGGCTGTGCTCTTGTTTCCCTGCTACATCTATTGATGGCCTGCAGGGGCGGTATAGGACCACCCCATGCCCTGGTGCCTGGTGGGCCATGGACCAGCTGAAGCTTGATGTCTGATGAAAGGGCTCTAGCTGCTTCCCATCTAGAGTCACAGACCAGACCATAAACTCTGACAGTGGTGCCAGCATAATCCCCCAAACAGCCAAACCTCCAGGGGTCATGAGGCTGAGCACAAGCCCAGATCAGCCATTCTGCAGGAGAAAGCTGGGCAATTTGAAATGATGTAAATTCAAGATATCCTTCTCTCCACAGCTGCACAAGGTCTTGTAAACTCACTATCACAATGAAGAGGACCAGGGAGAGGGAGAAGACATTTCGAAGACTGAGCATTTACCCCCCAAAAGAATGAGTCATTGTTTTCTGACAAGATGGCCAATGAGCATAGGCTACTGGCTCCCACCTCCAAAATTAATCTTGGGGAAACCACAGCAGAGAAAATATACCATGGATCTGATGATCCAAAGATAAAACAGTGAGAAATTCCAGGAAGACCAAAGGCTTCTGAAGACAGAGATCCAGTGTGTGTGAAGGAGACGGGTGGGTGGATGAATGGGAATAGAAAAGGGAGAAGCCCCAGTGGGATATTAGTTGCTCCAAAGTTGTGGTCTTGTACCCCCTCTACACACACATGCACACACACACACACACACACACAAGGTGACCATTGTCTACCTAGAACAAGCAGCATCATAACCAAGTCCTCAGAGATTCCAAGAATATAATCAGAGAAAACCAAAAACCCTATTAGGATAAGAGCTAATGGGACCAGAAATGGACTTCTGTCTGCCCTTGGGCATTCGTTCATCCATCCTACATCCTCTGCTGCCCCTTTAACCC
Source organism: Homo sapiens (assembly GCF_000001405.40). Taxonomy (NCBI): domain Eukaryota; kingdom Metazoa; phylum Chordata; class Mammalia; order Primates; family Hominidae; genus Homo; species Homo sapiens. Next base: position 207,981,325 of record NC_000001.11, on the reverse strand, counting down.
TGAAGCCTGCTGGATCTACTAAAGGGATGGCCACCTCCCAAGTCTGCTTCTTTGAAAGGAAAATACTGGACAGAGGGGTTGCACAGTAAGAAAGTAGCATCTAAAAGGGATCCTAAATTGGGAAGGGGGATAGCAGGTTGCTGGAACATATCAAGAGGGTTTCTGTGGAACCAGGGGCTCTCTGGCTTGGAGCTCATTCCCTCCCCTCTTATTTAAATTCAGCAGGAAGTAATAGACTAAGATTTCAGATGCTCCTTCACTACACAGTACTGCGCAGAATAACTGACAGCCCCAAGGGAACATAAGTTTACGGGCCAAATTAATTTGACCTCAAGGAATAAAACCACTTTAAAAGAAAGGCAACAAACTGAACAATACGCATCCTGTGAACCAGGATAATTGAGACAGATACACCAAGATTTTAAACAAGCATAATAAATATTCCCAACAGAAGAGAAGATACTAAAATATGGAACAGGTAGAATAAATTATAAAAAGGAAACAAATAGAAATATTGTATATGAATGATTTGAAACAAACAGAAGGGATAAATTACTGGATGGACATCCCTGAAAGCAGAATTTCTAAGCTGAAAGATCATGTCGAGATGTTCTCCCGCAGGGCAGCAGCAGCAGATGAAAAGATAGAAAATATGAAATAAAGGCTAAGAATGTTGTGACTTACATTTACTTACAATATGGTTATAAGTAAACTGAGGTGCTAATATCCAAACAATGAGATTCCCAGGAGGTGAGGAAAAACATGAAGGGGAGGAAACATTTGAAGAAATAAGAATAAAAGACAAAAGACTTCAGATGGAAAGGACTTGCACAGTGCCAACAAGAATAAAGAAAAACCCACACCTAGAATACTTCAGTGAAACTAAGAATATTAAACATACAGAAGAAGGCCAGGAGCAGTGGCTCACGCCTGTAATCCCAAAACTTTGGGAGGCCGAGGCAGGCAGATCACTTGAGGACAGGAGTTCGAGACCAGCCTGGCCAACATAGCGAAACCCCGTCTCCATTAAAAGTACAAAAATTAGCTGAGTGTGGTGGCACATGCCTGTAATCCCAGCTGCTTGGGAGGTGGAGTCATGAGAATCACTTGAACCTTGGAGGCAGAGGTTGCAGGGAGCCAAGATCAAGCCATTGCACTGCAGCCTGGGCAACAGAGCAAGACTCTGTCTTGAAAAAGAAAAAAATCAGAAGAAAATTCTAAAAGTTTCCAGAAAGATAAAACAGTCACCTAAAAAAGTAAGGAATCACAATTTATTAGATTTCTGAAGAGTACATTGGGCATAGGAAAACATGGAGAAAAATACGTTTGAAGTATTAAAGGAAAAAGAATATTGAACCTAGAATTTCATATCCAGCCAAATTGTCACTTACATGCAAGAACGCCATGAACATATTTCCAGGAATATGAGGCCTCAGAAAGTTTGCCACACAAAATCCCAATTTGAAAACACTCTTGGAAGAGTACCCGATAAAAAGAGAAATAAATTCAGGAAAGTGCTGAGAGAGAAATATGATGGAAGAATGGTCAAATTACTTGGTACAAATTATTGTGTAAAAAAAAAAAAGCAAGGATCAAAGAAAATGTAAGAAAAAAGCATATCCAAATAACAAAAAGAAAAAAAAGAAACAGAAAAACCCATAAACCAGGTCTCCACCTACACTAAAGTGTATCTGTGAGGATGTTTAGTTGTACATGCATCCAGGCTTGCCCTCACACAGGTCTGTGCGGTGCCCCTGCGGAGCACACCTCCATGCCCTGTCTGTGTGGACCTGTGCATTGGGTTTATATCAAACATGGAGGTTTCTTTAGTACTTGTCTGGTTTGCTCCCCTAGCTGTTCTAACCCCTCAAAACTAAAATTGTAGACATTATCAAGACAAATAAATATAATTATAGGTTTTGGATTAAAGGCAGCCACCATAATAAAAAAGTAGAAGATAAAACCTTTAAATAAGCATAAGAAAATTTGATCTATCCAATAGAAACCATAAAGAAAACAAATAAAAAATAAATGTAGAATAAAAATAAAATATGAAATAACATAGCAGAAATAACTCCTCAATTAATAGAATTACAATACCCATACAGGGATTTAGTGCATCAATTAAAACACAGAGGCTCTGTCCAAAATTAAAACAGTATGGTACTGCTGCACTAATAGGCAGACTAATAAAGCAGGAGATAAAGAAATAGATGAAGTCCATAAGAAACGTATTATATGAAAAAGGTATCATATCAAATCACCGGAGAAAAGACGAACTTTAAAATAAATAATGCTAAGGCAATTGGATAACTATTTGGAAAAGGATAAAATTGGAACCATACCTCACACCCTATCCAAGAATAAACTGCAAATAGATCAGATGTGTGATGCACACATGAAATCACACAGGATTAAAGGAAAACAGGGTGCTATGGTTTGGATATTTGACCCCTCCAAATCTCATGTTAAAATCTGATCCTCGATGTTGGAGGGGGTGCCTACTGGAAGGTGTTTTGAGCCATGGGGGCGGATCTCTCATAAATGGCTTGAGGCCTCCTCCCCGTAATGAGTGAGTTATCACTCTATTAGTTCCTGAGACACCTGGTTGTTAACAAGCGCCTGGCACCTTCTTCCTCTCTTGATTCTTCTCTCTCTTGCCTCCACTCTCATCATGTGATTTCTGCACAAGCTGGCTCACCCCTGCCTTCTGCCGTGAGTGGACACAGCTTGAAGCTCTCACCAGAAGTAGATGCTGGCACCATGCTTCTCCTAAAAAGCCTGCAGAATCATGAGTGAAATAAACCTCTTTTCTTTATAAATTACCCAGAAATTACCCAGCCTTGGTATTCCTTTATAGTAACATGGACTAGGACACAGGTGAGTTATCTTATAATCTGGCTTATTAAAAAGTCTTATTATGACTCCCAATTCAGAATCAATAAAAGACAATATTGATTAATACAATTACATTAAAAAAAACTTTTACATGGCTGAAATCGCCAAAAACACAGTCAAAAGACACATTATATAATGGGAAAATATTAGCAATTGGCAATGCATATCACAGATAAAGGTTTAACACGCCTGTTGCACAAACAACTCATAAAAATCAAGGAAACAAAGAAAGATATACAAATCATCCATAAATATATAAAAAGAGCATCAGAATAAGAGAAATGCTAATTAAAATCACATAGATACCATCTTGCAATTACAAGATTGGCAAAATTTCAAAAGCTTCACAAAGCATTCTGTTGACAGGATATGGAAAAATTGGCACTCAATTTCAATGCTGGTGGGAATGCAAAATGGTAGAACTCTACAGAAGGGATTTGGCTATATTTAATATAATATCTAATATCTGGCAGTATCTAACACAACTATGTATGGATTTAACCTTTCATCCAATAAATAATAATATATTAATTTACTTTGAAGATCCATATCCTAAAATGTGAAACAAAATATGTACAAGATCATTCATGATACATGTTGAGTATCCCTTAGCTGAAATGCTTGGGAACAGAAGTGTTTCCAATTTCAGATATTTTTTGGATTTTGTAATATTTGCATATAAATAATGAACTATCTTGGGCATCAGACCCAAGTCTAAATATAATATTCATTTACGTTTTATATATACCCTATACATGTAGCCTGAAGTTAACTTTATACGATATTTTTAATAATTTTATGCATGAAACAAGGTTTTAATTGCATTTTGACTGTGACCCATGAAGCAAAGTCTGGTGTGAGATTTTCCACTCGTGGCATCATGTCGGCACTCAAAAAGTTTTGGATTTTGGAGCATTTTGAATTTCAGATGTTTTAATTAAGATTCTCAACTTATAGTATTATTTATAAGGACAAAATATTGGGAAGAATCTGTTATGCATATATGAATGATAGATTGGTAGAATAAGTCATTGTATATCCATTCAAAGGCATAATACACAGTTATAAAAATGAGAAATAGCTCTGTAAATTGATGTGAAGTGATTGCCAGGATATTTTAAAGTAAAAATCATAGATAGTATGTTATATTTTTGTATGAAAGAAAGTAAAATAAAAATATATTCCCATTTTTGCAAAAGAAACATAGGAAGGATAAATCAGAAGCCAGGGAAATTGGTTTCTGGCAGGGAGTGAGTTGAAACAAGAAGAAAATGCTAAGAAAGGGGAACAGTTCTTTAAATGTACCTTTTGTTTAGTTTTACTTTTTGACCCACCAAATATTTTACTATACGTGAAAATAAAATTAAATCATCAAATGTTTTCCTCATGTTTGATGAGGAAAATTGTATAAACAGAAACAAATGAATTTATCTATATACCTTTGGTAGTTGACAAGGTGTCTATACAGAAGGGAAACATCAATCCAAGTAACTCTTTTTTTTAACTTTGCATATAATGTACCTTATTTATATATTTTTTTATTATACTTTAAGTTCTAGGGTACATGTGCACAACGTGCATGTTTGTTACGTATGTATACATGTGCCATGTTGGTGTGCTGCACCCATTAACTTGTCATTTACATTAGGTATATCTCCTAATGCTATTCCTCCCCCCAATCCAAGTAACTCTTGAGAACATAGTATTTGAACTGTACATTCTCAGGGGGACATGTTCTAAATAAAATAAGAACTGCAAAGAAAGTTTGAACTTTGTTTTGTTTTGGTAATGATATACAATAACAATTCCCAAACTATTTTGGCAAATGACTATATATGCTGATGTTGTTGAGAACCAGGGAGGCTAAGAATCTTTTGGAGAGAATCATTGTGGAAGAACAAGATACAAATAAGGAAAGGAAAAAGAAGAGGAAAACTCCTGTAGTATTAGATTGAAGTTAGAAGTGTTTAGTAAGTACTCATTACTTTTTTTAGGCATTTATTTTTCTCCAATCTTACTGAGTTATAACTGAAGTACACTAAACTCCATATTTAAATGTAGTTTGTTGAGTTTTGACCATTTTACATTCAAAAAAATTGCCATGATAAAGACAACAAACATTTCCATCACTTCCAAAAACTTATTTGTGTTCTTCAACATCCATGCCTGCCTCTACCTCCATTTGTAAGCAACCACTAATCTACTTTCTGTCACTATAAATTAGTGTGTATTTTCCAGAATTTTATATAAATGAAATTATATGGTATGTGCTATTTTTTGCCTGGCTTTTTTTTTTTTACTAAATATAATGATTTCAGATTCATCTCGGTTATGTATCAAGGTTCATTCCTTTTTATTGTTTTTATTTCCAGGATTGGAATGGTTCTGTTACTAGGTTCATATACATTTATAATTGCTATGTCTTCTGGATGAACTGTCCCTTTTATCATTATGAAATGTCCCTCTTTATCTCTAGTGATACTCTTTGTCTTGAAATCTATTTTAGCTGATTTAAAAATAGCCATTCTAGGCTTCTTATGCTTATTATTTGCATGGTATATATTTACTTTAAACCTATCTGTGCCTTTGCATTTGAAATGTGTCATTTGACGGCAGCATATAATAACAACTTGCCTTTTTATTCACTCTGTCAATCCTGGACTTTTAATTGAAGGGTTTAGATCATCAGCATTTAATGTACTTATTCATATTGTTGGATTTAGTTCTACCACTTTACTCTTTGATTTCCATTTGTCTCTTCTTTTTTTATTTGTTTTTCTGTTTTTGAGACAGTGTCTTGCTCTGTCATCTGGACTGAAGTGCAGTGTCACCATCATAGATCACTATAGCCTCAAACTCCTGAGCTCAAGTGATCCCCCCTCAGCCTCCTGAGTAGCTGGGACTACAAGCACATGCCATCATGCCTGGCTAATTTTTTTTTCTTAATTTTTTGTAGAGATGGAGTCTTGCTATGTTGGCCAAGCTGGTCTCAAACTCCTGGGCTCAAGTGATCCTCCTGCCTTGGCCTACCAAAGTCCTCGGATTATAGGCATGAACAACTGTGCCCAGCCTCCCTCTAGTTTCTTTCCTATATGCCCCTTTTTCAGCCTTCTTTTGGGTTACTTAGATAATTTTTAGTAGTCTTTTTAAATTTATCATTAGCATTGTGGCTAAATCTGTTTGTATTATTTTTTAGTGGTTGCTTTAGAGATTACTATATATATATATTTTCACATTCAAGTAAAATATAGAAGCTTTGCAACCACATAAAAGTCCTTTAATATTCCCTTCAAATGACTTCTATGTTATAATTGTCATTTGACTATATCCTCACACATTAAAAACTCCACCAGCTTATGTTATAAGTTTTGCTTCCAATGGTCCTAGGTGTTTTTTAAAACTTTTTTAAAAAGTCTCTTATATTTACCCAGATATTTACCACTTCTGTTGCTCTTCCTTCATTCCCTAAAATCCAACTTTCTTTTGTTATCATTATCTTTTAGCCTCTGATGAATTTCCTTTATCATTTATTACAGAAAATGTATTCTGGTAATAAATTATCTCACTTTTGCTGCATCTGAGAGTAGCTCTATTTTGACTTCACACCTGCAGGATATTTCTGCTGGATGTAGAATCCTGAGTTGACAGTTCCTTCTTTTAGTACTTTAGAGATGTTGATCCCATCTTCTGACCTTCATGGGACAAGAAGAAACCTGCAGCCCTCAGAACCTGTGTATATGTAATGTGTAGCTTTTCCTCTAGCAGCTTTAAAGAGTCTTTCTTTGCTTTGATTTTCACCATTTTGACTATGAGATTAGGTGAAGTTTTCCTTGAGTTTATCCTGTTTGTGGTTTACTGAGCTTCTTGAATCTTAAATTTACAAACATGGAATAATATTAAAATGCAAGAAGATGTTAATAGAAGCATGGAGCAGACACAGTGACCACCCAAAGGAGGAGCAGTCACTTCTACCAAGGAGGGGAAGGGGAAGGGATGCCAGGAATGTATGAGACATAGAGTATGGGACAGGCAGTCTAGGCACAGGGGACAATGTGAGAAAAACTGTGAGATATGACAAATACAAAACCCAGTTCCCCATTCTCCAATTCTCTCGCACGTCACGTCACTTTTTTTTTTTTTTAACAGCTGGTTTTGTTTTGTAACGTTCTTAATGACATCTTTGGGACAGGCACATTTTCTAACTCTGCCTTGTCTTTTTAAGGACAAAAGTAGCATTTCTCACTTTCCTTGTATCTTTTGAGGATGTCTAACACAAGGCTTTTCAATTTAAATAAACAAACAAACAAAAAAAACCCAGCAACCTGCTCTTTGGACAGCATGTGGGAGGCTAATGCTGGTTGTGGCTCTATGAAAATGAAGTGATAGAACCAAGAAACTCAGCTTTCACTGTTAAAACAGCACAAAAGCTGCCTCTTTAGACAGAACAAGTTAATTGATTGAAGCAGTTTGAGACTCTCAAATAATAGTAAAATTTCATTTTATTACCCAAACGTACACCTATTAAAATTCACCCTCCAAACCTTAGATGATCATCCAGAATTAATTACTACATTTAGGGGCTAAAATTGAGTGCTTTGTTGGTTTCTCTAGATAATTTACATATTATTACTTTACAATTCATGTTGTAATAATTTTTATTAAAATTAGTAAATGAAAATGGAATATTACATCCAAGTTTATAGAACCCTGGAATCAGAGTCACTAATCTTTTTCTCCTTTAAAATTACAATTGTCAATTTAAAATATACACATATGTAGAACTTAATCATTTATTTTAAAAAGAAAAGCATGAAACCAAAATGAGTTAGTATTTACAATTTCGTTGAGATTGTATCAAACCCACAATCAAAGTTGTAGAATGTAGAGAGCAAGAGGGAAAAAAAAACAGAAAGAAGTGGAGAAAAATTAGCCAAAGTAGAGAAGAGATGGAAAGCAAAGAATACCAAAAAGTAAGTCAGGGGAAGAAGCACTGTTTAACTTTGTTCAACTCTGGAACCCAAAGAACAGCCCAAGCACCATCAGTGCTCTAAGAGCTACAGTCCAGTCTGGACAACCTGGTTAGCGTCATCCTCAAACTTCAGCCGGGAGTAGCGTGCACCATTGGTACAAAGAGCTGGGAGTTGCAAGACAAAGACTGGAACATTTGTCGGAAGTCCTCCTGTGTCCACCAATTCCCGCAGAGACAAGTGGCCCTGGGAGCCCACACTTCAGTCCACAGCATTTCCTCCCACAGTCCACCTCTTTGGAAAAGCCTAACCAAAGGTAGTCTGCAGTCTGGGGGGTGGGTGTGAAGCGTTTGGTAAAACACAACCCACCTGTGAGATTCCTGCTATTTACTCAGACCCTGGGCACTCAGTGCACCTCCACACAAAATAGGGAGTGCGTCAGGAATGTGCCTCACTTTGGAGGCAGCACCCCCTCTCTCCTCCGGAGGAAATAACACAGTAGAGACTAAGGGAGCAGAGATCCCCAAACCCCAAAACATGCCCATCCATGCTGGAGACAGGAACTGCGAGCTCTTGCCATAGACTTCTGTATTTCTTTTATTCCATCTCTCAATATCCCTTTTTTCTGGCCCCTCGGCATTTTCCGGAGGTCTGCTCTGCCTGTCTTCCTCCCCCATCTTCATTTTAATTTTCTATTTATCTCATTGAGATCCTTCTGGCGAATGAGGTTCTTCTGGCCAGCTGGGACCTTTCAGGACTTTCCCTGGCTCTCTCTCCCACTCTAGATAAATCCACCCACCTGCCATGCTCCCTTCATCTCCTCCTCAAGCCATCCCAAGCACAGTGACTGGACGAGCCTTAGGAAATCCTCCAAACAGAGAGGGAGTGGGGCAATGTTTATGTGTCCCTTTCAGTATCACCTCTGAGCTGGGAGGGGACCGTCAATTCTTGAGCAGAGTCTACCAGAAACCCTGGCTCCACCGCATCCCTCCACTGGCAGAAATCGGCCCTTGGGACATTTCCTGACAGCTCTGACAGGCCTCAAGGAGACAATTAATGCCTCGCAGCTGCCACTAACAGAGAAGGTGCTGGAAGAGGGGGGGAACAGGGAAGGAAGTGTGTAAATCTGCAAAAAGTTATAAAGCAATAGGAGAGAGCAGGCAGGGAATTGAATGAGAATCTTACTGAACAAATTTTGCTTGGAATCTCCTCAAGGGCTGGTCTGAGGAAACCAAAGGCAAGCTTAGAAACACCACAGAGCTGGGCTTGTGGACATCTCTGCAATGGACATAACTTCTGGAAAGAAGATGAAAGCTGGAGAGAGGCAGAGTCTCTGTCCCTGGCCTGGAATCCTGAGATGTGGGTCCTTGAACCTTGCTACCTCCCACGCAGGGCCAGGGGACTGTCTAAGGTTACAGGTGCCCAGTTTCTGGGGCCAGGGAAGGGGAGGGCAGCTTCTGAAAAAGTGGTTTCTGACAAAAAGGCAGACAGACAGACAGACAGAGAGATGGACGGGTCTCCTTCTTTCCCAGACATCCCCACGATTGTCTGGGCAAACAGATGGGCCTTTCCTCCGGGCTTTATAGATTAATGTATCCTTCTTATCAATTATGGAGACAAGAAAGTGTAATTTTCTCCCCATGTTTATACTGTTCAGGATTAATCTGGCTGTAAATGGATAATCTGTCAGCCTTCTGAGACACTGAAGTGGGGAGGGGGTGGGGCAGGAAACGGGGAAGAGATTTACCAGCGGGTGATGCCATCTGCTTTATTAGGTTGTTTTATAAACCTGACATTCAATTTGTTCTGGAGGACTTGGTGACAGATTATTCTGTAAATTCCCAAATAATTACAATAACCAGAGAAAGGGAGAAAAGGGGAGAGGGAGGTGGGTTTGGGGGAGTAGGGGTGTGCGGCACGTTCGTGAGTAATGGTTCCAAGGGCAACATCCGTCCTCAGCTATTACCAAGGGTGGCTAAGAAAGGCTGGGCCTTAGAGGCAGGGGATTGACAAAAAGGGCCCTGACAGCCCTTCCACTCTGGGTCTCATATCATGTCCCTTTGTTTTCAAACCTTCAGACACCTTGCTCCCCACAAGATGGTGAATTCAAGTGAGCAGGGATTGTGTTATCATATTTTTATACTTAAATATGCATATCATATTATTTCTCCTGTCCCTGGGTCTAAATCCTGCTTCTCTCCTTACTAGCATATGAACTTGAGTAAGTTACTTAAACTCTGCTTTAAACTCTTTGACGGTCAAATTAGGACAATAATAGAACTTACCTCCTGTGGCTGCTGTGAGGATCAAATTAGTTCTTATATGTAAAGCATTTAAAATAGTGCTTGGCACACACTGAATGCTAGATAAACTATTTGCTGTATTCTCACTCTTTGTATGTTTATTCCACAGTGCAGAGCCCAGTGCTGACGAGACAGATGGTACACTCTCAGCAGATCTCTGATGGTTGAATCTGAAAAATCATAATGGTAGAATCGGAATCTCAGAGCTGATGGGCCCTTGGCAATCACAGGGCCTACCCCACTTCTCCACCCTCAGCTTAAACAAGCGGCTCCCTCTAACACCGACGCCTCATTCCATCATCGGACTTTTCCCACGACTCCTCAGTCTTCACAAAGCCAAAGCCTGCCCTTCCCTAGTACAGCCCTCCCAAAGGGTTAAAGCTGCTGGCCTCCTGGGTTTGCAAAGGGAGACGGGGAGAGCCCCTCCACTAAAGCATAGCCTCGATTATGAGCTCTGAGAGCTCATTTTTCAGCAGAATGCTATTCAATTACCCCGTGCATGTTTATCTTTTAAATTCCTGAATACTGCCTTCTGTGGCTTTCTGTAATCTTATTTGTGCTTGAGTTGGGACAGGGATAGCTGGAGAAAAGAGGGCCACATAGTGCGTGTCCCAAGACCCACCTACTTGACACCTGTCTTTGTGTCCTCAGGGACCATGCTCTGAGCTACAAGCATGTGATCATGGCTCAGGCAGGCGCAATCTCAGCTCCCTGCAACCTCCGCCTCCCAGGTTCAAGCGATTCTCCTGCCTCAACCTCCCAAGTAGCTGGGACTACAGGCACCTGCCACCACACCCAGCTAATTTTTGTATTTTTAGTAGAGACGGGGTTTCACCATGTTGGCCAGGATCGTCTCAACCTTTTGACCTTGTGATCTGCCCGCCATGGCCTCCCAAAGTGCTGGGATTACAGGCATGAGCCACTGTGCCCGGCTTGCCTGCACTTTCTGATGAGCTCTGTGCCTTTCCAAGGACAGTAATCTGTTACCCTAGTTGGCCACCGGGTATTGAGGCTCAGGGAATGAAACCACTTACTCTGTGGCTTGCTACAAAGAAAATGTCTGTGCCACGGGCTCCAGTTGAATAGAATACCCCCTAACATCTCAGAGTGCATTCTTGACCATCGGCTTCATGCTATGCATTGTGTAAATATAACATAAATCAAAACTATGACCGCTCTTTCAGATGAAGAAACATGCATCATGAGGATAAGTCATTTGCTTCATACAGTCATACATGGAGTTAAGGCTTAGAGGGTGTCATAGGCTGCAATTGTGCTGCCTGTCCGGAACTGAGCTCCCTACTTCTTCCAGTAAAAGATTTCTGTGGGGAATCCATTGCCAGTGGTCTGGATGGCATGGCCACTGCCCCTCTTCAGGGATGGGCACAAGACCCTAGCCTGGCCAATCAGAATATCTCATGCCCTTGGTCACAGTGATTGGGTTGGGGTAGTCATGTGACCCAAACCCAGCTAATCAGATCTTCCTATAGGACTTTTCTGCCAAAGCTAGTGGGGAAGGAGCTTTACTCTTCCTGGGGTTGGTTGCTAACTGGTAGGATGTGAGCCTTAGGCTACTACTCCACCATGCCTAAAGCCAGACCTACGCTCTGGACTTTCCACTTAGATTACCCAAAATATTCCCTTCGTGCTTGGTAATAGGAGGCTACAATTATTTACTTTATAGCTTCATTAATATAGGCTATAATTAGCATCTCCTACCCATCCTCAAACTTCATCTTGCAAATTCAAGGTGTTTATCAAGGCAGGCCTGGGAGCTGGGGTGGTCTCCTGCATCTCAACAGACGCTGGATTATACAGCTTTGTAGGACCCTCCCAGTTTCCAGATGCTTCCCTTGTATGAAAACCCCCTTTCCTATTATTATCCCTGTGTATGCTGACAGGTGTGTTTGTAAAGTTTCTCCTACCCCCCGCCCCCCACCTCCTGCAAAGACTTCTGTCTCTATCAGTAATTGTAAACTCCTGAGGGTAGGGCAAGCAACCATTCCTAGGTCGTCTTTGTCTCCATCAGTTCCTGGTCCAAAGCTCTCAAGTCTCTGATGTGGCTTCTGGTAGTTTGAGGGTATCGGAGTGTTGATGTGTACATGAATGTGTAATTGAAGAGATGGGGGATTGAAGAGGAAAGAACTGCCAAAAAGCATAAACGCTGTGCCAGAGACAGAGAGAGAGAGAGAGAGAAAATAAAGATCTGAGCACAGAGGCCTCCTTGAGTTTGCAGCATCTGGGAGGCTCTGCTCACTAAGTTCAGCTGGCTTTATGTCGTCATTTATTCAGGCCCCACCTTCTACCAAGAGAGAACTGAAGGAATCCACAACTATGGCTACTGAGATACAGACAAGGATGACATAATGTTTACTTTCTTAATTGTGTGTCTTGCCTTCCCCAGGAAAATTTGGCAGGCAGGCGTGGGGGTTGTTGGTTTTGTTTTTTATTTTTTGTTTTAAGAGACAGTGTCTCGCTGTGTGGCTCAGGCTGGACTCGAACTCCCAGGCTCAAGCCACCCTCCAGCTTCAGCCTCCCAAATAGCAGGGATTACAGATGCCTGCCACCAGGCCTGGCCTCCCAGGAGAATGCACCTGCTGCTGCTGTCCCATCTGCACACTCACACCATGGCTGGCCCACAGAGTGACATTTCCCCACCACAGCACAGGCTTTGGCAGCTTAGAAGCAGACAAGGGCAAAAGACTGAATAGTGTCTTCCCAAGATTGGAAACAAGGCTCAAATGTCTACCTTTTTAAAAAATATATTTAATATACAACTGAGGTTCTACCCAGTGCAACAAGGCAAGAACAAGAAGTGAAAAGCATAAGTTTTGGAAACGAAGAAGTAATGTCGTGTATATTCACAGACATTGTGATTTGTGTACATAGAAAATTCTAAGAAATCTAGAAAAATACAACTAATGCATGAATTTAGCAAGTATACAGGATACAAAACCAATATGTAAAAATCAGTTGTATTTGTATATACTCACAAAAAACAATTGGCAACTGAAATCTTAGAAACATTTTTTATTTTAAATATTTTAACAAAACATTTAAACATTTTATGTAAATCATTTATATAAATCTTGACAACCCCTGACCCAGTTACTGTGGTCCTGGGCATGAGGTATTCTGATTGGCCAGGCCAGGGTCTTGTGCACATCCCTGAAGAGAGGCAGTGGCCATGTCATCCAGACCACTGGCAATGGATTCCCCACAGAAATGAGAGTTTTTTTTTAACCAAAGGCCGTATGCACCCTGGGTGTGGGCCTGACCCATACATCCAACATACCTGTGTATCTTAGTTTCTAGGGCTACCATGATATAGCACCATGAACTGAATATGAGATCACAGAAATTTATTCTCTTACACTTCTGGAGCTAGAAGTCCAAAACCAAGGTGTTGCAGAGCCACGCTCCCTCCAAAGCCTATAGGGGAAGGATCCTTGTTTCTTCCAGCTTCTGGGAGCCCCAGGAGTTCCTTCCCTTGTGGCCACATAACTCCAATCTCTGCCTCCATTCCCAATGTAGCCATCTTCCTAGGTCATCTTTGTCTCCATCAGTTCCTGGTCCAAAGTTCTCAAGTCTCTGACGTGGCTTCTGGTAGTTTGAGGGTATCGGAGTGTTTATGTGTATATGAATGTGTAATTGGAGAGATGGGGGAATGAAGAGGAAAGAACTGCCAAAAAGCATAAACGCTGTACCAGAGACAGAGAGAGAGAGAGAGAGAGAGAGAATAAAGATATGAGCACAGAGGCCTCCTTGAGTTTGCAGCATCTGGGAGGCTCTGCTCAGTAAGTTCAGCTGTGTCTCTGTGTCCAAATTCCCCTCTTCTTTCGAGGACACCAGTCACATTGAATTAGGGCTCTCCCACCCTATCCCAGGATGACTTACTTTTTTTTTTCATTGTTGCCATTACCTTTATTTATTTATTTTTTTTTTTATTATCTTAACCAGTTTACATCTGCAAAGACCCTATTTCCAAATAATGTAGATGGCAGATGAGACTTGAGCATATATTTTGTGGGGGGACATAGTCTAACCCATAACACCAGGTCTCCACCTACATTAAAGTGTATCTGTGAGGATGTTTAGTTGTACATGCATCCGGGCTTGCCATCACAGAGGTCCGTGTGGTGGCCCTGTGGAGCACACCTCCATGCCCTGTCTGTGTGGACCTGTGCATTGGGTTTATATCAAACATGGAGGTTTCTTTAGTACGTGTCTGGTTCGCTCCCCGCCGTGTTCTAAGACTCCTCACCTGCCTACAGGGTGCTGTGCTCATACGCAAAACCAAGGGTTTTCAATGACTTTCCACAAGTAAAGAAGTTATTTTCTGACACATTTCTTCCTCCAATTATATATTTACCTCCCCCAGTGGCTTACTCAGGAGCAAAGACAAAAGGCTCAGGACTCAGGCTGACTCAGGACATGCGCACACACACACACACACACATACACACTTACTTTCACAAGGACCCCACAGTTCTTCTTGAGTGAGATAAATATATGCAAAATGCCTCACAGCACCGCAACCACTAGAGTCTTCTCCTCTAGAACTGCATGTACATTTAAATGCACAAACAACATCTGAAAATATTCTTTGCAGATAAAAATCCCAATAATAACTCATCCCCCCACCCCTCCAAGATTACTCTAAGGTTGCCACTGATTTCCCCACTGGCAAGAGGGAGCAAATAGGAGGCAGGAATAGTATAGTCTTCTTGCCTGTCCTGATCCCAACTCCTCCAAGAAATGGGGTTTCACAGACTGAGTCTGCGGACCCAGAATCATTGGGGCAATCATTCTGTCTGACCTAGAAGTAACTGGACAGGAATCTGAAAAGCAACAGATCCCCTCTGCCTCTTTTTGGTGAAATATGGTTTATCAAAGTGGGCAGAAAGGTTGAGGCCATATATCAACCTTCCCATTTTACAGATGGGGAGACTGAGGCCATGGAAGTCATTCAGCATTGCCTTCACTCACAGATCCAGTGTCTCCTGCCTCCTGGTCCAGTATTCTTTTCCCATCCCCTCCTGTCTCACCTCCTGCCCCCATCTTTTTAGACTTTGGGAACAGCAGTGGTGAAGAGGGAGGATAAAGGGAAGATTATTCCATGTCCAAGGAAGGTTAGCAGGAGAGAGCCACAGAAGAGCATCTTGTAAGGTACTGAAATCCAGCTGAGGCTTCCTCCATAACCCAGACTTCTCCCCCAAAAAGTTCCATGACATCTGCTGGCTGCCTGGCCTTCGCGGATCTATTTAACCCAGAGACACTGTGATCGCTCATGTGCTTTGATCCTGCAGGCGCCGGCAGCTTTTTGTTCTATTATTCACTGCAGGGTGGATGCTGAGTTGTCTCTCCTTATTACAGGCAGTGGTTGGGCTTCCCACCGCCTCCCCAAGGCCACTGGGTGATAGCCATCAATAAGTCAGTAGCAGCGGCTGGCTTTGAGATGCCTTTTGGGAAAGGGATTTGTACCATTTCAGAATCATCGTTTTCTACAAGCATCCTTTTTGGGAGAGATCTGGGGAGAAAAACAATTAGCATAACAATTACAGAAATCCATGTAAAGATGCTAAGAGGAATACCTTATCTGCCCAGCTGGTGGCAGCTTTTGAAGACAGACCCCTGCCTTTATATCTGTGTGCCCTGCACAGCATCTGGCACATAGTGGGGCATCCTCTAATGTTTATTTAATGACCCAGTGTATGAGTGAACATCTCTTCTCAAGCCTCAAACCCATTCCCTTCAAAAACAAGAGGAAAAGAGGCACTGAGTATCATAAAAACTTTTAACCATGTGGCATTCTGGATAAATCTGTTTATTTGTTTATCCACAATCTCCCCACACACACACTACAAGACACAAGCTCTATACGGGCACTTTGTATATGCCTAGCACCTACAACAGTGCCTAGCATACAGTAAGTCCTCAGGAAACGTGCAAAAAATGAATGAACTGGATGTCAGGAGACCTGGGAACGAATTCCAGCTAAGTTACCAGCTGGCTGAGTGACCTGGGCCAGTCACTTCTCTCTGGATCTCAATTTGCCCCCTGTGTGGCAGGAGCATTGTGCCAGATCTACGATAGAATCAATCACCTAGTCTAGACATTTCTTGAAGAACATGGGACATTGTGTCACCCTACCAAATCCATGCTGTGAGCCTTCCAGATCCATGTTCTGTCCCCGACTTCTTCCTCCACAGTCATGAGGTGCTTTGACAATCTATACAGATGCAATGTGACGGGGTCACACAGAAAAATCCCAGGGGCCTGCAGCCAGAGGGAATGTGTGGAGGCTACGGAAAGGAATATCCTTGAACGGAATGCATGACTTCTGCAAGAGTCATAGCTTCATTTCTGCACTTGCTCTCCTCTCACCAATAATCCAGGCACAGAAACCCTCCCCCGCCCTCCTCCCTCGGGGGCACAGGATAATGTTGATGGATGGGATGGAGTCTGGAGCTGAGAGGGCATGGAAAAGAGGGGAGCCCTCCTTAGCAGACCGTCTTGGGGCACACAGGTGGAATGATCGAGTAGCCAACATGCACTTCAGCAAGGGCAGAGTGATGTTTTTCATGACTAATCTTCAAACCCCGGACGAGAGGAAACACATTCCAAAGCGACTGCTTGAGACAAGAACAGGGTGGGACGCAAAAAGTTAACTGAGAATCAGGAGATAGGAGAAGACTCAGCCACACCCAGCCAGTGAAGATGAATTTAAAGAGAACTCTATGTAGTGCGGCTCCCTGGGTGGAACAGAACATATGATTCTCGTGCCAGAGTGTGGGTTCACCCCTCTCGCCTAAACCTTCCGTTGTGAGGTGTGCCCTTCAGACAGTTATGCTTGGGTGGGCCCCGAGCAACCCCGCCACCCTCCACTCTCACCGCCCCCGCACGCTTGCAGAAAGCCAGCCTTTCTGGAATGGTGACTCGTCGGGGTGTACGATGTCTTCGTGGGGTGGGCAGAAGGGATGGTATTCCCTGTTTGCAGCCCCTGGGGTGGCAGGCGTATGTTGGGCCTAGCTGGCTCCTATTTCTGAGTCTTGACACCTCCCCCGCTGCCTGCCTCCTCCTCCTCCTCCCTCTCCCCTGGGCCGCCGAGCTGTTTGGCCCGCGGTGCCCCGCTCAAAGTCAGGGCCAAGGCCAGGGGAGGGGGCAGGCGGTGGTTCCCAGCACTGCCCTCACCTGATATTTACTTTCCAGGCTGTTGACTCCCAAACAATACAGTGCACGCCGATTTGCAGGGTACCTTCCGTCTACTTTCCCAGTAAACCACTCCCACCAAGCAAACACGCAGGGTTCCCCTGGCCCGCGCGGACCTGGAAAAACACAGCGCTTGGCTGGTCTCCCTGGCTGGCCGGACCCGCCGCCTTCCGGCCAGCGCACCTCCGCTGCGTGGAAGCGGCCGTGCCATGGCGCCTTGCGGCCACGAGAGGGCAGCCGCGGGCCGCAGAAACACCACCGCGCCCGGCTTCCCGAGCCTGCGCCTGCGCAGACCCGAGGCCGACCCGAGGCGGTCGCTGGCCAAGCGCCCGGCCAGCGCTTCCGGCTGCCGAGGCTGCAGCCTTCAGTGAGCTGTGGCTCTGCCGCCCCGGGAGGGAACAAATGGCGGATTTCAGGCCTCCGGGCCATGCAGCCTCCCTCTGAGGCCCCAAAGGCGCGATAGAGGCGGTGAGATGCGGCTGGAGCTGGGAACGAATTCCCCGGCCGGCTGGGAGGCCGCCCAGCCCGGTGCGCTGACCGCACTCGCCTTGCTTTCACCCCTCGGGTCGCCTCTCGCACCTCGCAGCCGAAAGCCCCTCCGCTGGGTCACGTTTCTCCATCCCGCTGCAGCCTGAGCAAGGTCGCCTTCATCCTTTACAGACAGAAGTTCCTCTACCCGGAGGCCCGGAGCCTGGGAGAGGGCCACTGGGAACGTCGCATTTGCAGAGCCCCAGTAACCGGGCTGTGGACCGTCTTCTTACTGCTTGAAGTTTCAGGCTCAGAGCAGGAAACGATTCCAGAGCTCAGCCAGGCACCGATGAGAAGAAAAACAGAAGCAGCACATTGCCCAGGGCCATGGAGCTTGCCAGTGAAGAGCAAACCAGGCCACGTAGGGCCGCTGCTTGGGACCCTGTCCTGGCACCCCCAGCTCTTGGAGAAAGTCAGCGCTCCCAAGGCCTCCAGGCCCGCCAGCATCGTCTGGCCCTGACTGCTCTCCACCATACCCCACTCTCCACTGCAGCTCTTCCCCATGTCCCGGCTGTGCACATCCGGCTCCATGATCCCAGCCGCGCCCAGCTTCACTCTCTGCCCAGCAAACTCTTGCTTGTCTTCTAGGTGTTGGCTTAGAAAACATTCTCCCTGCAAAGTTTTCTAGGCGTTCCCCGCACCTCTCACACAACCCTATGCAACACTGTATTCCAGGGTAGCCCACACAGAACCTCACCTGCTTGTTCACTTATCTGACCCAGAATACGAAAGGCCCACACTAGGTCTTAATTAATATGTCCCCTACATCCCAGCTGCCCCATCCAAGTCCCCAATTTCTGGGCCCATGTACTTTTTACCGTGTTGCCCACTGGCCCTTTCACTATTGTAACTAAAATAAGCAGATTTATGGCCTAGAAGACTCTATGCTTCTACGTCAGAACAAGAGCCTGCTCTTTTCTAATTCCTGGGAGAATATTATGACAATTCTTGCTTCTGAAGCCTGGAGAATAATTTCCAACATGACAGTCTCCCTACTTCTGTGGTCCGGAGGGTACTTTCTAACTTGAGTTATTCTCATTATTCCACTCAAGAGAAGTAACTGCAAAACAGGTGTTAAACCATGCAGTAGGATTTACAGAGGTTGAGGGACTCCATGAGTCCACTTGAACCAGAGCAGCACGATTTTTATTTTTTAGGTAGGAATTTCTTTTGGGGGGAAAATAAGGAGCCAAGAATTCTATTAATGCTTTAAAAATGTTTTAAGTGGGAGGAGGGTGAAGGGACAAGCAACTCTACTTTCTGCTCAATATTGCTGTGAACTAAAATTTTTCTAAAAAATACAGTTGATTGATTTATTTAAAAAATGTTTTAGATGTCACTACACTAAAGGATTATAAAGTAGAGCAGCTGAAGAGCTGTGGACAATTGTTAACAACTAATCATTTCCAAAGGCTGTACCTACATTCCCAGTGAAGCACATATCATAACTTCTCAACCTAGGGAGCCTTTCCCTTCCCTTTTATGTGGAGTCTATTTATTGTCACCCATTGTTTCTTCTTCCCTGACACCAGGGAGTCTGATTTTTTATGGGTGTAGTTAGGAACTGAAAGTTTGTTTCTTTGTTTTTTTTGGTTTTTTTTTTCAGAATTTGTTACATTTATAGAAAAAGTTGCTATGTTACTTATTTGAAGAAGAGTTGAAGCTTTTATATTTCTCTTTTAAAAATGTTTTGTTTGAGGCCCTAGGGTTTTTGTTTTTTGATAAATGCTCCCTCCGACTCAAAGATGTCCAGGTGTTAATCCCTGGAACCTGTGAAACGGCTACCTTACAAGGCAAAAGGAACTTTAAAGATATAATTATATTAAGATTCTTGAGATGGGGAGAAAACAGTGTTAGGGAAAGAAGGAGATGTGTCCACAGAAGCAGAGGTGGCAGTGATTCAATGTGAGAAAGACTCGGCTGGTCACTGATAGCTTTGAAGATGGAGAAGGGGCCGCAGACCAAGGAATGCAGGTGGCCTCGAAAACCTGGAGAAGTCAAGGAAACAGTCTCCCCCAGAGCCTCCAGAAGGAACAGTCCTGCTGACACCTTGATTTTAGCCCAGTGAGACACATTTTGGACTTCTTACATCCAGAACTGTAAGATAACAAACGTGTGTTGTTTTAAGCCACTACGTGTGTGGTTATCAATCACAGCAGCAATAGGGAACTAATACAAACACACTCCAAAGGAAAAAAAATCCTGCCATAGATCACGCAGGTGGTAAGAAGGAAGCTAATTGTAGAGGGGAGACAGATTGGCTAGAGCCATTGTGGAGAGGAGTTCTTGCAATAGTAGTAGAGGTCACCCAGATAGACCTGTATATATTCTTTGTTATTACAAAATCAGTATGAGTTGGCACCACGCGGGCATATTGGTGGAGCATTTGCATGCCCTGTTTTATATTTTAACTGTATGGCCATTCATATTTCCCCTGCTAGCCTGAAAGTTTCCAAGATGGCATTCATCTTTGTATTCCTGTTGCCTGCAATGGCTTCTATGAATAATACCATCTTATGTTTATGAGGCACTTCACACTTCCCAGAGCACTGTGTGGCCATTATCCATTTTGAGTCTTACCGCAACTCTTGTGGGGTCAGGCAAGACTGGTGGTGGCATTATCAATAGATTCCATTTTACAAAAGACTGGCACCCAAATTTCTCTGACACCCAGGCCCTCCTCTCCCCAAGAGTCCACTCATTTTCTCTGCAAAGTGAATTCTAAACACAGATGAGAAAGTTGAGGCACTGCTGGCGTCCTAAGAGCTCAAACTGGGCCCCAGGGTTCTCGAGTTACTGTACAGACCTTCTTGGTCTTCTTCCCACTCTGAGCACAGGAGAAAATCCTCTTGTGCAACTGGTAGTGGAGGAGAAATGCCACAACAGTGACACCACCTTGTCTCTCAAGGACATTGAGCAGTGTGGGGTAGAAATGAGGATGGGAAGGGTCCAGGTGGGGGTGGTGTGCAAGGCTGACCCAGGGGTCCCCAGTCCCAGACCCTACCTCTTGCACTCTGACCCGCCTAGGGAAGCGTGGCTGAGGAGGTAGGGAGAAAGAAAGGTCATGCTTTCAGCCTGGACTTCAGGACGTGGCCTGAGGACAGGTCAGAAGAGAATGGTATCCGTCACCATCTTACAGTTTTAAAATTCTTTGTATGGCGTCAATGTTCTCACTTACCGAGAAAGTACAGTCTCTGGAGTTAGAGACAGGTTCAAGTCATAGGTCTCCACTTACCAGTGGTGTAACCCTGGCAAGTCACTTTCCTTGGGTGAGATCCCATTTCTCCATCAGCAGAATATGGCCTGTAAAATCGTTGGAAAGATAAAAATAACATACGTAAAGTACATGGAAAATAATAAGCACTCAAATGGTAGCTATAGTTATTTATAACCAAGAAAACAGGGGGAGTGGATTTCTCCAGGTTGGACAGCTGATAATTGGTGGAACCAAAATTCCAAACTACTCCCCAGAAGCTTCAGTTCCTTATCCCAAGGCCCCTCTGCTCCCCGGAAACTAAGTCTCATACTTCTGTAGCCAGGTGCGACCCTCCAAGGCAAATCTCTGCCCACCGACTCACAGAGAGGGAACCCCCACCAAGAACCCGCTGGAAGCCTGGCGCCACACAGCTGCACTATCTGGAACCTCGCGCGACTGCAGCCCTGGGGGGCGCGCCCGGAACCGAAATGGCTCAAGAGACTTGAGGACCGGCGCGTCTCCTTTCTCCGGCCCCAGTCCCCAACTCCCGCCACAGCGCAGAGGGGGCAGTGCGGTGGGAGGGGGGGAGTTGTGGGGCTGGGGCTCCGGCCTGGCCGGTGAAGCCCCAGGACCCGTCCGCTTGGGGTTAAGGCAAGGGGTGCGGCACGAGGAGCGCAGGGAGCCCCGAGTCCCAGGCGCAGACCCAGCTGCGGACCCGCCGTACAGCCCTGGTGTTGCAAGCGTGGACCGTGGGCGTAAGGCCCCGGCGGGAGGCACTCGGCCCGGCCGCGGCCGGGTCTGCAGGGTCCTGGCGCAGCGGATCCCGGCGCGCCCTGGCCCGCGGCCCGCAGGGTTCAGACGGGGCCGAGACAGCCAAGCCCGGTTCGCTCGCGCCAGGCGCTGGAGCCAAGGCTGACGGGCGGTTCTGAATCATGTTTGGAGGAGCGGCGCGGCCCCCAGGGCTCCGCTGAGACGCGCTGCAGGGCTGTCCGGGCCCTCCCTCGGCGACGCGGCCAGCAGCCCGCGCCGCGTCCTCAGCGGCGGCAAAAACTAGGAGTCCCGGGGCTCTGCCGGGCGCCGGCACTGGAGGGCAAGAGATGCTGGCTTCCCCCGGGGCTCATCACCCCGGGGTTCCACAGCACTTACGTGGGATGGGGACCCCGGAGTAGACCACGGACGGAAAGGAACGGTGGTTTCATTCTCTGCAAAAGAAATCCTCGCGCGCACACGGGTGCCCCGGGCCAGGCAGACCTCCAGCAGAGGCGCCCAGGTGGGGCGTGCAGAGCTTCTGAAAGTGGGCACCTACTTTAGGAGGCTGGCAAGCACAGAGAGCCCAGAATCACCTGTGCCGAGCCCTCAAGGGGGCCTTCTCACAGCCCTGATGTGCCCCCTTACTGCGATTAAGGCTGTTTGCGAGTCCTAAAGAGCTTGCGTTATGCAGGGCACTTTCAACCAACCATTCCTCTATGTACAGCAACCTGTGAAGCTGGCAGGACCAGTACCTTTATTCGTTTTACAAGTGAGAAAGCAAAGGGGTGGGAAAGCCCTAGGGTTCTGTGCCCGACTGCCTAGTCAGGCCCTGCCAACCAAAGATTGAAGTCCGTTCTTTCTCTCTCCTGCCAGGAGGCGAAGAAGTGTCCACCCTGTCTATTGAGAGGCCTCTACTTTAAGAATTAAGCCAGGCAGTCGCTGCTGTGTGGAGGGGTGTTGACAGCAAGTGACAAGGAAGCAAGTCTTTATCGCAGGAAAAATTACTTAAGTGGACTCCTTAGCAGCCTCCTTTCCATTTGGAATGAAGATTAGCACCCCTAGCCCTAGAGCTGTGATTCTCAAAGTGTGGTGCCCAGACTAGCAGCAGAAGCATCACCTGGGAACTAGTAAGAAATGCATCTTAACTGCCCCCTCCTAGGCCTCCTGGATCAGAAGCTTTGAGGTAGTGCCAGCCCAGCAATTTATTTTTTTTGCTTTTCATACATATATATATCTCCACAATGGATGAAAGAGAACAATCATCAAGGATGTAGGTACCAGACACAGGGCAGAAGGTAGCTAGAAAAGTATGCCTGAAGGAAGTTAAGGACCCTAGCCTCATTCCTACCTCGTTTCAATAGGTGGACCTAGCATAAATAGGTTACTTTTCCATTGTTCTAGCTTCCTCTGCCCCATCTACAAACATGGCACAGCTGGCTTGCCTTGCAAGGCCTCAGCTGAAGGACCCCATGTACACACAGGCCAGTACAGCAGTATTAGGATCTAGAAGAATCTCATCCCCATATATGGTCTCACTCCAAGTCTATGGCCGAGTACCTTCATTGTTGTGTGCAAGATGGTGTCATCCCTTGAAAATATGGCCGCTTCAGCATAAAATAGTTAAATCTTTATAATGGTCGATTATCTCATCCTACCCCCTTTTACATGCAGCTGAAAAACGGCAGGCTAGGGACATAGAACATTGTGGACTTTATACTGTTAGAATCGCTGCCCATCAAATGATCACTAGCTAATGGTCACTAAATTTACAAATTAAGGAAATTATCTATAGAATACTGCAAAGACACAGTAAAAAGACTGAAGTTTGCCCATTTCTGCTCAGGAAGTCCCTTCACTCCTAAGCTTCATATGTTGTCCTTTTGAGCCCAGCAATTTTTAAGGAGCCCTTCAGGAGATTCTCTGATGCACAAAGAAATTTTGAAAACCACTGTTCCAGAAAAGCCTGTGTATCAGCTAGAAGCAAGCCTGCATGGAAAGACAGAATGCCATCACTGCTTAAGAGGCCCAAGGAGGCAAGAAATGAACTGAGAAGCCCAGAGTTAGCAGTGGCATGATAGGTTCATTCCTTGGAGTCTATTGTGTGTGTTTGGGGCCCCGTAAAATATTAGAAAGCGATGGAAATTTTAGGGCTCCGTATAATATTGTATTTACATAACCACTCAGCTCTCAACTACTCTCAAAGAGTACCTACTGAAGATCATGTCTTCAACTTGCTAAGGCTGATCTGGGTATTAGCCAACTCTCTGAGTTGAAGGAAACAGATGTAACCAGGTCATCTCATGAAATGGAGCTCTATTGTTCAGTAGATGAGGTAGTAAGTGGAGCAGACACTGCTGTTTGCCTTCTCCCTGGCTAACAGAGGACTGACATTGACTGGATTAAAGGATAGAGCTACCCTGTACTTCAGGCGGCTGCATTCCTCCCTGCTGGCACCAGTGATTGATTTAGGAATGGGTAGAGGGTGCAATTCTGACCAATGAGACGTGGGAGAAGCTTGCTGGGGAGTTGGTGGGGTATTTTCCTTTTGCTTTAAAAGGGGCAAAGGAAAGGTACATTCCCTTTTTTTTTCCTTTTTCATCTCTGGATGTCATTGCCTGGAACTTTTGCAGGCTTCTGATACCATGAGAGAAAGTAGGCTAGAAGGACAAGCAAAATAGAGGGTGATGAGAAGAAATTCAGGAAACATGTGGGATCTTCACGACATTGTTGAGCCACTAAATTAGCCAACCCAGGGAGTGGGGGAAATGCTTAGGATTGTCTTGTTAAGTGAGATGACTTATTTTTCTTATGAAGACTGCTTTTAGTTGGGTTTTGTGTTACTTGCAGCCCAAAGCATCCTAATTGATGTAATTAAAGAGACTAAAATCTCACTGTAATACCAGAGTAGAGACAAAAATCAAGCCAGGTGTCAGAGGGAGGTGTCAGGAGGACATTCGGGATCCCTGGCCACTCTAAGCATTGGGCTGCCTCATCTCCCTCATCCATCTCAGGAGTTCCTAGTTCCGAGTGTTTCACCATGAATGTGGCCCCATTACTCTCGTGTAGTCTCCCTTTTTCTGTCTGCTGTTTTCTCTTTCTGCCAGTTGCCTGGTTCTCTCTATAATCTCAAATTCAGGTTTCCAAGAATGAGAACTTGATTGGCCTAGTTAACCACACTGCTTGTGGTAGGAAAGAGATTCCATACCTGACCATCTTACAGGTTGCTGGTCAGTCTATGGACTGGCTGTCCTTGAATCAGTTTCTTCCTTCTTGTCTAAGGTAAGAAGAGTGGATATAGGACTTGGCCAGCCCCACTCAGCCTGAGGCCCTGGCAGAGGCCAGGGGCTGGGAAGATTCTCCTAGAAGGAAACAGTGCTCTTGGCAGGTACTAAGACTGATTTACCAGCAGAGCCTTTCTTAGAAACAATGAAATGGCAGTGCTGAGTCTACCAGGGTCAGAACAAAGGAATCTACTCCTACCACAAGCCCTTTCTGTTGTAGATCTGTTCCACACCCAAGAGTAAGGGGTGTCGGGCCAACATGTGTGCCTGGGTACCTAACGCTGCCCCCAAACACACTACTCAGAAAATATCCCTGCCTTCAGTGCACCCACCCATGCATCCTCACAGGAAGCAGACATTCTGCCGCTGCTGAAAATGTGCACGCCACACATGATGTTTGCATATGGCACTTTATGGGACACTTTTTAAGAGTTGTTTTGTTGTTTGAGTCCCTGTGAAACGCTTCGCAGTGCAGCACTTTGTTGGGATGTGCAAGCAGCAGCCACAGTGATGGAACCAGATGCAGATTGAAGAAACGACTGCCGCAGAACGTTTCCTAAAACAAAGGTTTTAAAAAACACATGGGACACAAGTGTTGAGAAGCCCAAGTGTGAGAGCACAACACCGCTTTCTTTCGCTGTATTCTTGGCATTCTCATAGTGTGTGTGATTCTCTAAGAACAAGTTGTCACGGGAGTGGAAGAGGTGTGAACTATGCTGCTTCTGTCACTTATTAGTTCTGTATCCTTAGGCAAGTGGTTTGAACTTCCTGAGCCTCAATTTGTTCATTGGTAAAATATGTCTAATAATACTTCCCCCGTAGTATGGCCATAATCCTTGTATACAGTAAGTCAGTGAAGAAAGTGTTGGACACATAATATAACATGTTAAAGCTGTCATTTTAAAAGATCCCTTCCCTGAGGCAGGTATTCTACCTTACTATTTAGAGGGAATCATGGTCAGAAGCACCAGACTATGGTATTGACCAGATCCTGTGATGTCTGTCACCCAGCTCAACAAATGAGGTTTCAGTGAGAATTCAGTGAGGTCCTCATTAGAAATGAGAAATGGCTGGGAGATGCCAAGTGGGTGGTGGGCAGTTGGGAGGATGACACTTTCATTAATGTTGATCTGTCCAGGATATGGAGAGAAAGTCACAGTAGCTTCCAGAGCCGAGCCCAAGTATAATGCATTATCTTATGCTACATAGAAAGTAGGATAGGACCAGGACCAGGCCTGTTACCGGCTAGGACCCTAAAGGAAAACACTCAAGTTCCCCATGGAGCAGAGACCACGACCACTGTTATCAGTTAGTGATTGCTGGCAAGCCACCCAGAACAGGAAGAGATGGGTCAGGAATGAGAGTAGGATTTTCAAGATTTGGGAGCCAAAGGACCTTTGGCAGCATGTAGAAAGGCAGATTTAAGAATTCTTGGGGCTAGAGTCAGGAATGGTCTATTACACACCTGAGAGTACCTGAAAGTCCAGTGAGGCTGTCTGAGGCCCCACTCAGAGAGGAAATCAACAATTAGTGTTGGAGAGGTTTTAGGGATCCCTACAGGCCTTACAGTAGGGGTTCTAGAGCCTGTGGTGTTACTTAAGATGGTAGAAAAAAAAAGCAGAGCCTGTGTACCTCAAATAGTATTTTTTCCAGAAGACAGAATTCTAAGATGTTTCCTCCCGCTTCCCACACTGACCCCCGTATACACACCCTACATAATCCCCAGGACTATGAATATGATGGATTTTCCTCCCATCATTAGGTTATATTAATTTGGCACAGTTAGCCTTAAGATAGATGATCTGGGTGAGCTGGACCTAATCATCTGAGCCTTTCAAAAGCAGAGAGTTTCTTCTAGCTTGTTGCAGAAGAGGAAGTGGAGATTTGAAGCATGAGAGGGATTTCAGGCTCCACTGCTGGCTTGAAGATGGAGGGGACCACCTGTTAAGAAATTTATGTGGCTCTAGGAGTTGAAAGCAGCCTCTAGCTGACAGCCAGCAAGAAAACAGGAATATCAGTCCTACAACCACAAGGAACTGAGTTTTGCCAAGAATAAGAATGGGCTTGAAGTAGAGTCTTCCTCAGAGCTTCCAGGTAAGAGGCCTGCCTGGTTAACAACTTCATTTTAGCCTTATGATACCCTGAGCAGGGAACTCAGCTATGCCATGCCAGATTCAAAACCTGCCTGGCCCACAGAACTGTGAGCTGACAAATCTGACAAATGGGTGTTATTTTAAGCTTCTAAGTTTGTGGTGATTTCTTATGTAGTAAAAGAAAGTGAATTCAAATCAGTGAAGAAATACATGGTTCAGAGTTAGGGCTAGAAATGTGTCAATCTTCATTAGATTTATACTTTGCTTTTTCCCACATTTATTTCCTTTTTATTTTCCGTTAGCTTCTTTATACATTTTTTTTTTGAAAACTCACTATCTGATTACTAGGAACCAGAAAGAATTTGACTACACCCAAGTGTTAAAAAAAAATAAGAAAATATTAGAAAAATATAAGGTCTACATCCTGCATCTGCCACTTAGTTTGTCTGGTTTTGGGAAAATGACTTCACCTCCTTACATCTTAGTTCCTCATCTATAAGATAGAGATAATAATGTTTACTTACTGTATTTAAGTCAGACTCAAGTCAGATAATGTATTTCAATGTGCTTTATAAAATAGACACCTGTATATATTAATAAATAAATGTGAGCTACTATTTTTATTCAGACAGAATAACCAGCAAGATGCTCAGGGCAGCAGGTGAGCCAGAGGCAGTGAAAGTCCCAGTTTGAAAACCTAGAAACCCGACAGAGAGGAAAAAATTAGTAAGTAGAGCCCCTTAGAGAAGGCAATGGGGAATAGCTGCAAGGGCTAGTTCTCCTCTTGAGTGTGCTTTCATTATGCAAGTAAAAATGAAAAAGCAGACTGAGAAACATGCTAGACTAATTCTCAGCCTCATCAAGAATAGAGTTTAAAATCCTAAGCAGAAAAAAAGTAATATGACCCCCCAAATGGCCAATTAAATTGCTTAGAGAGCAAAAGAAAAAAGGAAGCCACAACAGAATACATTATGTAATAAGGACATTACACAAAACGAATGAATGGAATCAAACACCCATAAAGCAGAGGAGAAGCAGAAGTCTTGCAGGAGATGTTATCAATGGCTCAAGATTAAATGTGCTTGTGCTTAAACAATGGTGTGTGAAACGTCTTAAACAGGAAAGGAATCCTTGGAAAGAAAGGCTGTCATCACTATGAAGCAGCATTTGAAAATTCAATCTATAAAATAACAAAGAAAATTAGACAAGAGGTGAATGATAAGCACACCCAAGGAGGACAAAAAGATGTAAAAGTCAGATGAGTTCTCCCAACTACCAACAGCATTCCAATTAAGAGGATGTTTACTGAGCATCAGATTACAGTAGCTATACAGAGAAATACTTTGGAGAAAATTCAAAAAAGAGAAAACCAGCACCAACACCCAATAACAACAAAGTGTTTTGTTTCCTGCGTCTTCCATCATTCACTGACAATGAAGGTGCATTTTAAAAATGTGAACCCAGGTAATATGAAAAAAAAAAACCCACAAATAAAAAAAGTAAAATGCCAAATATAGTTAAAGAACTAATTAAACATTTTCACAAGTACACAACGTTTTGTACTCCATCTACAGATGGACAAAACTAAGAACCATTTCCAACATGAGCAGATCCACGTTTAGGGTCTTCAGTTAACTTGACAATAGGGACAGGCTTGAGTACAAAGCTCTGCTCCTCCATTTGCCATTTGGGAGATGCTGGGCATGTTATCTAGCCTCTCTGAGCTTCAGTTTCTTGATCTATAAAACTAAGATAATGAACACACCATAGGCTTTTGGAGAGGATTAAATAGGATAATGTATATTAAATGGCTACCATATATAGTCAAAGCTCAAAAAATGATAATTAATTTAAAAATTAATTATCTCCCCAGTTGTATAGTAAAGGAGCTAACAAAATTCTCTCCAGGATTCTTTCCATCTTTAAAGTTTTGTGGTTTTGCCAATATTCAGTTTGGTGATTCCTCAAAAAGCTACACACAGAATCGCCATATAACCCAGCAATTCCACTCCTAGGCAGTTACGCAAAAGACTTGAAAGCAGGGACTCAAGCAGATATGTGTACACCAGTGTTCATTACAGCATTATTTACAATAGCCAAAATGTGGAAAATACCCGTGTCCATCAACAGATGAGTGAATAAACAAAATGTGGTATGTGCATACAATGAAGTCTGTTTCAGACATAAAGGAAGTTCTGATACATGCTACCACACGAATAAACCTTAATGACATTGTTCCAGGCAAAGAAGCCAAACACAGAAGGATAAATATTGTGCAATTCCATTTACATGAGATATCTAGAGTAGGCAAATTCATAGAGACAGAAAGTAGAGTTTACCATGAGCTAGGGAAGGAAGAATAGGGAGTTATTGCTTAATGGGTACCAAGTTTCTGTTTGGGCTGATGGAAAAGTTTTGGAGACATATAGTGGCGATAGCTGCACAACAGTATGAATGTCATTAATGCCACTAAATTTTGCACTTAAAAATTGTTAAATGGCATATTTAATGTTCTACACATATAAAACATGTGGTTATATTTATAAAACCACAAAAAAATCATGTAGTTCTATCTCAGACTCTTTCCCTGCAATATAACATCCAAATTAAAGAAATGAACGCTACTTGCATTTTTATATTTCCTGCAGTGATTAACGTGAGCTCTAGGATCAGTTTGCTTGGGTTCAGATCTTCCCTCTATCACTTACTACCATGTCACCTGGGGCAAGGTACTCAAAGTTTTTGAGCCTAGTTGCCTCATCTGTAAGATGGATATAATAATACCTACAACACAGAGTTGTCAAGAAGAAGCTGTAAAATGCTTACATTGTGTCTGGTACAAAGCAAGTGCTTACAAAAGACAGGTAGGTATTGTTATCCCTTGATAAGCATGCTCAAGTGGTAGTGGAAGGTAGAGGGAGTCAGACAGTAGAGTGCCAAATGATGCTGGGGCCAAATTTCCTATCACCCTTGACTCTGAGTTCCTAAGATGCTCCCACTGACATGATCCAAAGGTCTTGATGCTCTGACTCTAGCCCCAGATGATCATAAGACAACAAAGTACTCGAAGCTCTACCCAAGCCCACACCATCCCTCCAACTTAAGGGAGAGATATGGATCTAATCCTTTAGTAAACAGCACACACTGCTCTTAGAATCAAGTCCAAACAGTTGAATAAGGCAAGGTGCTTTACGATCTTGCCTGTTTACTTCTTTCATCCAAACTATCACTACACCTCACTTCACCCTTTATGCTCCAACCTTGCTGACTGCTTACAGCTCTGCCTGGAAGGCTCCTACCTCACCACTTCACCTGACCATCCCTTCTCCATCCTTTGGGTCTTCACTTGGACATCACCTCTTCCAGGCAGGTTTCTCTGACTTACCTGAGCTGAGTTAGATGCTCCTATGTGCTTGCATAATGCTCTGTCTTCTATTCCCCATCATTGCATACTGGTGTTACTGCCCATTTTCATGTGTCTCTCCAATAAGACTATAAGCAACTTGCACTATTAGCCATTTCATCCCCAGTATCTAGCCTGCAGTGCCTGGCTCATATAAACACCTGTTAGTTGAGTATGAATGAACCTGAATGGATGGAAGAATAGATGGATGGATAACCTGGTATTGGTTCTATAAATTGGATCAGGTTTTGAGATGGCAGTGTCAGCTCTTTTGCCTCCTTCAGACCTTTATCAGACTGTTAGGGAACTCTTGATATTGTGTCAATATTAATAGGGAATAGTAACGGACGGCATAGGTCCCAAACAAGGAAGGCAGGGTGTCTGTTAATTTTTTAGGACCTTTGCTGAACCCAACCATCCACTTTCAAATAGATTTATATACAAGTTTCCTTACCCTCTACCATCCAAACCTACCTGGTTCTTACCTTTCCTACTGCTGCTGATTACGGCATCACCCGAGCTGCTGAATTTTAAAATCCCTGTCCTTTTTGTTTCTTTCCGTAGCCCCCAATCATTATGGTCCCTCAGTCCAGTAATTTGACTTCCTATCTACACCCACTTTTCTATTCCTACTGCTACTACTACAAAGTGCTTTGTATAGAAACAAAGCTCTATTAAAGAATACATTTCCTCCACATTGTGAAATCATCAAGGGCACCTGGTAACATAACATCATTTAATACATAATACAGACCCAGGCTAGCCTCCTGTTTCTTTAGCAACTCTACAAACCAGCAATGTTAGACTAGTCAGATTCTCATAGCAGATACAGAACCAACTTTAAATGGCCTTGCATGGGGCATTGACCTAGCACTGCTTCTTTTTAAATCTTTCTAGTACTAAGAAAACTAATTTTGCTGGTGCATGTGTCTCTGCCATAGGAAACAGGAAGGCCAGCCTTTCTCCTTTGAACCAGGAGCATTGTTTTATTGTCTTTGTCAAGAGAGGTCTTAAGGAGCAATTGAATTTGTAGTTCAGCTATTGCCAGAAGGAACATTAATAATGTTAATTATGCCATAATTAAATCATAGAAACAAGTAATCATTCACCCACATTTAAAAGGGCAGTTTCAGACAATCTTCTGCAACTAGTTAAATTGAATTATTCTGCTATTTAAGTTACTTTTTCACCCTTTTACTTATTTGTGGCATCTAATAGATGCCTTCTTCAGAAAAACACCAACAGAACAATAGAGAAGTTCTCTTTGAGAAGGTGTACACAGGTGGGAACATCAAACCCAATGACTTGTCAGACTAAAGTCACATTTTCCCAAGTAGTTTGGACTAGAATTCTTAGGCCTCTCTGGGTATCAGTATTGTGCTCTGGGAAGAACAGTGGCATTGAAGTCAGGCTGCTTGCATAGGACCTTTAACTTTCTAATTTTCTAAGCCTCTGTTATCTCATCTGAAAAATGTGGATAATATTTTCAAACAGTGC
The DNA here is from genome assembly GCF_000001405.40 of Homo sapiens. Lineage (NCBI taxonomy): Eukaryota > Metazoa > Chordata > Mammalia > Primates > Hominidae > Homo > Homo sapiens. The sequence continues at coordinate 207,949,197 of NC_000001.11, read as the reverse complement.
CTAGCATATAATTAAACTATTATTCCTACTTCACCCTGCTAGGGATGTTTTATATAGATACATATCACATGGGTGTAGGACCTGAAGTGGTCAGTCTGTCTGGTCAGGATTACAAGTTGAGGTCTTAACATTCCAACACACAATGACATATTTATTTCTTTGCTATCTTACATCTAAAGCTTACAGCTCTCATAAACACCGGAAAAATCTGTATTGTTTAGAGGATTTGCTCATTATTTACAGGTATTTAGCATGCGACCAGTGATTGTTAAAGAATCTGGTATTTGAGAGAATTGCACATAAATTACCCATCAGAGAATCTCCAAGTTCTAATCATGATTTTAGGTCTTAAAAAAAAACACAGCATTATGTTTTTACAGCCTTAGAGAGACGATTTAACAAGTATCAAGTTAGTATGTAAGGGCATCTGCTCTTATTTAAGAACAATATGACAACCAAGTATCTGAATGACTCTTCTGTGTCTCATAAAAACCTGGGTTAAATATTTTCCATGTTGTTGTTGAATTCCCTTTATTAAAGCCTCATGCAATCAATTCCTACTTAAGTTGTCTGCAGCTGAATTTTATCCATCTTATTGTCAGGAAACAAAAACTATGCAATCCAACATGTTTAGTTTTTGCTTTGGCTGCCAGAAAGCTTACAGTCAGTTTATTGCCCACGTGTGCCAATCAGTTTGATTTCAGCGCCTCATTGCCACTCTCTCTTGTTCCTTCAGATGTAGTCTGCAGAACTTTACTGTTAATTATCTTATCTTGCCCTATGTCTTAATCTTGAGTCCTTTCTAAAGTAGGAGACAGGACAATTTTTAAACCTCAATTGAAGAAAGTTAAATTAATTAAACAATAGCAACAACAACAAAAATATTGGATCAGCATTATAAGCAAACGTAAGTAAAGCACTGTATAGATATTTAAGATTTCTTTTCAGAAAGGCTTAAAAGTAAAAATAATAATAATAATAGGGATTTTGTTTGTTTGTTTTCAGATAGAGTCTCACTCTGTTGTCCAGGCTGGAGCACAGTGCCACGATCACTGTCCACTGCAGCCGTGACCTCCCAGGCTCAAGTGATCCTCCCTCCTCAGCCTCCCGAGTAGCTGGGGCTACCAGTGCATGCCACCACGCCCTACTAATTTTTGTAATTTTTGTAGAGACAGGGTTTCGCCATGTTGCCCAGGCTGGTCTCGAACTCCTGGGCTCAAGCGTTCCACCCACCTCGGCCTCCCAAAATGCTAGGATTATAGGCATGAGCCTAGCATATAATTAAACTATTATTCCTACTTCACCAAGCTAGGGATATTTTATATAGATACATGTCACACATGTGTGTAAGAGCAAAGAACTCAAATCTAGAGTCAGACTGCCTAGGTTTGAATCTTCACTCCACCCTTTATAGTTGTATGTCCTTGGGAAAGTTATTTATCTTCTTGCTGCCTCTGGTTCATCATCCCCAAACTGGAGATAAAAGCAACCTCAATAAATTTTGCTTTGAGGATTAATGAGATATTTAGGATATGGTAAGCTCTCAATAAATACCGATGTTTACTCTTAAAACTTCCTTTTCCTCATTTATGATAACACTGTATCCTGACAATGTTTAGAAGTCCAGTATTCAAAAGTTGAATAGTACACTTACCAATTTTAAGGTGGGATGAGGTATCCTCCCCAAATGCAAAATATTGGAAAATCCTTAATTTTGCTTCCTGTAGAGACTGCCTTACTCAAACTTCAGTAACCTAGAGCATATAAAAATCTTTAATAGGCACAACTAGCCAGGGTAGAAACCGCTGTGATTATGGGAGAAGGGCTCGAGGCTTCTCCTTAAGGTAAGGTCCTAAGGTAATCCTTAGGACCAGGGGAGTAAAGCTATGCAGTCCCTTCCCTGACCCTCTGCAGGACATTCTGATACACAGGGATTGGGGGCAGAGGAAGGAGATCTCCCTTCCTTACTTCTGAAAAAAACACTGAATGAAGGCTTAGTCTGCTCTTCCCCACAAGCTTGCCCTTGAGCAAGGCCCTCCACTCAGTGGCCAGCTTTCTCTATATATATGGTCAGAGAAGAGGGGGCCTAGCAGGAAGACACCAGCTTAAGATGCTAAGCCCATGTGGTGAGCAAGCCCCAGACACCCTGGCAGTCAGGAGATGGGTTTATGGGTTGGGGGAGAGGTTGAGGGTGGAGACATCTGCTGTCTTAGAAGTCCAGTCTTGGCTCTCAACCATCAATCTCCCGGGGCAGCATCAATCCCCTCATCCCCAGCAGCATCAACAAATGGACAACAGCCACCACCTTTTTTGGCTCAAAATCATTAGCAATCAGATGACATAGTGAAAAAACAAACAAGCATGTGACTTCTTATGTTCCAGACATTGTGCTTAATGGTTTACATGGAAATCTTATTCAATATACTATGTTATAAAAAATAATGTGGAAAGTATGAAAGCTAGATTTCTGCAAGTTGAGATTTTTTTTATTCTTAGTTTACATTGTGATTTTATTACATCCTTATTTAGAGGAGTCACGATAAATAATAGCTTAATCATATTTTTAAAATATCTGTTCATGTGTGTTTTTAAATATTCACTCAAGGAAATGGAATCAAAATCCCTGACTGAGGGACTGAGCTAGGTGTCTACCAGGTCTAGTTACCACATAATTAGAAGCTGCAGTATCCAATATGGTAAACACTAGCTACCATATGGCTATTGAGCACTTGAAATATGGATAGTTCCATTGTGGTACTAAATTTTTTATTTTACATAATTGTAATTAATTTACATTTAAAAGCTGAAACTGTGTAAAAGAGTTTTCCAATAACATAGCTTGATCCCTTTGTAGGTTAACATTTCGGTGGCTCACGCCAGTAATCCTAGCACTTTGGGAGGCCGAGGCAGGCGGATCATGAAGTCAGGAAATTGAGACCATCCTGGCTAACACAGTGAAACCTCATCTCTACTAAAAATACAAAAAATTAGCTGGGTGTGGTGGCGGGCGCCTGTAGTCCCAGCTACACGGGAGGCTGAGGTGGGAGAATGGTGTGAAGCCAGGAGGCAGAGCTTGCAGTGAGCCAAGATTGCACCACTACACTCCAGCCTGGGCAACAGAGCAAGACTCTGTCTCAAAAAAAAAAAAAAAAGATGTTATTGTATTATACTGTATATGTAGAGCACATGCATTGTTTCTAGTATTAGATGTAAATGCATCATTAATTTAGTTGATGTCCACGTATTGATCCAGTTTAAATAATTGTTTGCTATATAGTGATGTAACATTATAATATGCTTATTTGAATATTTTATGTAGACACAAAAAGTTAGAGTGACACTATATAAATCATAGCCGGTAATGAAATGAAAATATTATTACTGTAATTGTAACATTTAAATTATTTGTCTGGTTAAAAAAAAGTATGGATAAATTTTAAAATTCAAATTAAGACATGTTACTGATGCAGAATTGCATGGAGGTGCAGAAGCTAGTACTATGATGGGAACTGAAAAAAAAGAAAGAAAGAGAGACTGGAAAAAGTATATTGCAAATTTCACAATGAATAGCACTGCAATTTGCTAATGCGCAAAATGAGAAAGCTGTTGTATAAAATTTATTTAAGTATAATAAAGTACAAAAATATTGAGATTTTTTGGCAACTACATAGTGAATTTGATAAATTTTCTCTCAACATTCAAAAAAGAACCAATGGAATGTATTACCTGAAATTAGAATTACATATCTAAGAAAAAATTAAGACTTTTTACAGGTCCCAGCTTGTCACTTTGGCCAAATATAATTTTGCTTTGGTTCTTACATATACATACACACACACACATTTTTTACATGGAAGGATAATAAAAAAAACTATTTCAGTTATATAATTTTTTAAGAAAATTATGAGATAAAGACAAAAAAGATATTTCACAAAAGTAAGAAATTCAACTAAGCCACCAAAAAATTGCTTATAAAATACCAGATCTCTTTAACTACAACAGAGATCAGCTGATTCAAAATCTAAAAAACTGCAAATTTTGTGGTTGTTGTTTTTAGCTTTTGATAAATCATGAGATATAAAATACACTGCCAAATTAATGCTTTGGGTATATTTTGTCCCTAACAACTTATTAATTTACTAATAATTATTGTCTATTCGTGGCCTAAAATATTAAACTCATGGCATGAGTATTTTTCAATATTTTACATCTGTTGAAGAATTTCAGCTAGTTATTAAAAAATTAGCTTCTAACACAACAAACAGTTTTCCATCTATGTTAAGCTAAAAATCGGACTTACTGGAATTTTTCTAAAGGGACTGATATTTTCTTTACTTCTTTGTTTCACTGTATGATACATCTTAAAAATATTTATGCTCATTTTCTGAAACAAACTCCATGAAATGTGTCCTGGATACATTGTTAAAATCATTCAGTGCATACATGCAGGTGCAATGAATCATCACAAGTTTATAGAACTGTTGAAAGAAATAGAAGACAATGAGTTCAATGACCTCATGCCTTCTTTGACAGTGCTCTTTGGTTGAGTCGTGAAAGAATTTTACGAAGATTTACTGTACTGTTAATTCCAATCCAATATTTTTTGAAAATAAAGAAAAATTGCCAAATATTCAAAAATCAAAGACAAAAGATGGCGATGTGATTTAAGTTTTCACAGTGATATCACACTGCATATAAATAAGCTAAACTTGAAACTCCAAGGAAAGGTAATGCTTATCTGTGGCCTCTCTGGACAGATACAAGATTTTAAAATGAAATTAAAACTTTTCATAATTTAATCAATAATAACAATCTTTATTATTTTCTTATATGAGTCAATATGCAGAAGATTGTAATTGTAATGGATAGCATTACTTAAATTGGCTACCAAAACCGCAAGAAAAAGTGTAAAGAACTCATTGTGGATACTTATAAACAGTTGCTTTTCAATCTATCAATATCATTTTGAGTCAATATTAATAATGCCGAGTTCGCACAAGAGTTAATAAATTAACTTTGATAGTTTTGAAACTGATAGCTTTTGCTTTAAATTGACTTTAAAGCAATTATGGTTAAAAGAAAAAAAGCTGGACCAGTTTTGTACATATGGACGCAAATATTAAAGGAGAATGTTTTTTCATTTAACGGAAAACATTTTAAGTATATTTGGAACACCTTATGTATGTGAATATAGTTTTCCAACTGTAAATTTTATAAAATCATACACTTCAACTCAATTATTTCCTGTAAAAATTGAGCTTCTGCATTTGGTGAGCTCTAAGTGTAAAGTACATTTAGTAAGGAGAAATAAATCTAAAATATCTCAATATTTTTTAGATTGATTGCATATTGAAATACAGTATTTTAAGTGTATTAAGTTATATAAAGTTATATTATTAAAATTAATTTGTCCTTTTTTTACCTTTTTTTTTTTTTTTTTTTTTTTAAGAAAGGGTTTCACGCTAAGACTCTGAGACAGAGTCACCCAGGCTGGAGTGCAGTGGCAGTGATTTTGGCTCACTGCAACTTCCACCTCCCAGGTTCAAGTGATTCTTTCACCTCAGCCTTCTGTATCTCAGTAGCTGGAATTACAGGTGCACGCCACCAGCCAGGAGAATTTTTGTATTTTTAGCAGAGACAGGGTTTTGCTGTGTTGGCCAGGCTGGTCTCGAACTCCTGACCTTAAGTGATCCACCTACTTCGGCCTCCCAAAGTGCTGGGATTACAGGGGTGAGCCACCTCGCCCAGTCCCTACCATCCCCCTTCTCACCCTTTTTTGGTAACTGTTTAAAATGTGGCTACTATTAAGTTTTAAATGACAAATGTGACGTGATATATTTCTAGGGATCACTGGTATGGGGAGTCTGTATATATATACATATATATATACAAATTGCCTCCTCAATAAATACTGCACTTAAGGGCTTTAAAAGGCAAGGAGGGGTGGGGCACGGTGGCTCACGCCTGTAATCCCAACACTTCGGGAGGCCGAGGCGGGCTGGATCCCCTTGAGCTCAGGAGTTCCAGATCAGCCTGGGCAACATGGCAAAACCCCACCTCTACTAAAAAAACAAAAACTAGCTAGGTGTGGTGGCGCACGTCTGTAATCCCAGCTACTTGGGAGGCTGAGGCACGAGAATCTCTTGAACCCAGGAGGCGGAGGTTGCAGGGAGCTGAGATCGCGCCACTGCACTCCAGCCTGGGTGACTCTGTCTCAAGGGCAAGGAGGGGAAGAAGCCAGTCTGACCCTGACTACTGCAAGAAATCTTTGCCCTGACTGTGTATATAAGTGCTTCTCAGTGCTTGCCATTGTCTTCCTGCTCTTTCCTTTTTTTTTTTTTTTTTTTTTTTTTTTGAGATGGAGTCTCACTCTGTCACCCAGGTTGGAGTGCACTGGCGAGATCTCGGCTCACTGCAAGCTCCGCCTCCCGGGTTCAAGCAATTCTCCTGCCTCAGCCTCCCGAGTAGCTGGAATTACAGGCGTGCGCCATCACGCCCAGCTAATTTTTATATTTTTAGTAGAGACGGGGTTTCACCATGTTGCCCAGGCTGGTCTCCAACTCCTGGCCTCAGGTGATCCACCGGCCTCGGCCTCCCAAAGTGCTGGGATTACACGCGTGAGCCACCGTGCCCGGACTCCTCTTCTAACTATGAAAGAAAAAGAAAGAGGAAGGTCTCTTCTGAAAGCTTAAAGCCAGATTTCCTCTGAAAGTCTAGCCGGCCAGTTAAAATGCGTCAGAGTCTATTCATGGCAGCAAACAGTAAAATAGAATGCCCTTTCTCTAGTAAGTATACGTAAATAACTACAGGCTTTTGACCCAAGAACTATCAGAAGCCCTGAAGCAGAGAGAGAAAGAGACTCTAGTTTCTGAAACTCTGAAAAGCTAGGATTTTGTGGCACTGGACACTTTAAAGGTTGTTTTTACAAAATAAGAAAAACTGGGTTAGATAAAGAAATGGTTAGAACTAAAGTTGAAGTTTAATGGGAGGTAGATACTCAGTTTGCACTTCCCTGTTTTTATTTCTTTATATTTCGCTCTAAAATATATAAGCATTATAAACAATGATAAGTAATTAATAGCGACGTAAAAATTGATGCTCTTATTTTAATGACCACGTTTTGGGTGAATATCAACATAAACGACCAGATTGCTATTTTGTCTTGCTGGTTATGGTTGGGGAAAGCTTTTGTTTGGAGAGGGGAGTGCTGTGGAGAAATAACCCAGTTACCTAGCGGCAGATACAAGGCATCCAGACATGGAAACTGGGAGGAAACAAACATTTTCCGGAGCAAGCTGACAAGCTCAGCCTTGGTGCTCCATCTGCGTCATAAGTAGCTCCCTGCCTCCAGTGCCTGGCGCTGTGCCTGGCACCACGTGGGCGGCCAGCATCATTTGTTGGACTGAATTGTAAAATGAGGTCACTTCCACAAAGGGATTTGTTGTCTGATCAGAAGAAAGAATGCAAACCATAAGAAAATAAATATAATAATTTGTCTTCCTTTTTGTGTTTTTGTATTTTGTTTGTATATATTTTGTTAATTAAAATTTTTTTCACCTAGTTTTTTTTAGAGAAGACAGTGGACGCACAGAGCACAATATAGATAACCCTTACTACCTGAATTCTCACTCTGCAAATATTCCCTGTAATGGCTTGCGTCCATTTTTATCCCACATGCAGTACCCTAATTGAAAACCTGCTATAAAATATCTGCATGCTGGGGCCAGTGAAAACTTATAATTTGAACACAAGTTTGGGCAGGAGGGTATAGGGTGCCCTGTAGTTGGATCTAGCTGCTTTGCCTGTAAGATGGCTTCTATTTTGCTTGCATTGCTTGTTGTGTTGTTTAAACCTGTGTGTTATCATTGTCATCTTCTCCACATTGTTAAGTGAAAATGCTTTCTAAAAAAGTGGAAAAGCCTGTGAAGAAAGTATATGAACAAAAACCCAATCACTAAAAAGAAGGTTGAGAGTGAAAAAGCGTTTTGAGAAAGGATAATAAATAAAAAAAAATGTATAAGCCGGTAAAAAGACAACCTAATTTGTATTGGATATTAAAAAAATGGTATTTTTGAAGGTAGTATTTGTCTGTACTCACTAATTAGAACTAATGAGAATTAAATGTAATTGACATTTTAAATCCTTTATACCTTTCAGAAATCTTTATGGATTAATACATAGATTAATGACAGTGTTTTAGTGAAATTTGGGGAAATTTCTTGGGGTTTTAAAAAATGCATTTTTATTTTTTTATTTACAGTAATTATGGCTTCTTTGATTTTCTTGTGTTAAACTTTAAAAGAGTATGCAAATTTTAAAAAAATGAAATATAGGCTCTAGTTATCTGAAATTTTGAAATCTAAAACATTTTCCAGAATAAATTGGATTTGGATGTCTCAGGATGCCTGAGGTCACAGACTGAAAGTAGAATTAAATGGTATTATGAGCAAATGTTCTTTTTCACATCTAGAAAGGCCTTTTAACTACAAAGAATTTAATTGTTTTTGTTGTTGCTACTTAGAAATATTTGGCAAGCAAATGACTCTAGATAATGTTTCTAAGAGAACTTCAGAGTCCTCTGATATTGAAGTAAAGTTTGAATCCTAAATCAAATTAAAAAAAAACCAACACACACATTTGAAATAGTTGAGACCTTTATAAATTATCTTTCTCCCAAAAAGAAAAAAAAAATGAGTGTGAAAGCCACAGTTGGTCCATGGACTATTGTGGTTGTTCCTAGCTGGTTTCTCTATCTCTAGTCATCCCTGTCCCTCCTTGTCTCATGGTCAATATATAAAGCTCTCAAAATTCTCTGGTGAAACACTATTTGATCATAACAGCTTCAGGTTCAGGAAACATTAACTCTCCATTTTGTGTGTGTGTCAAATTAAAATGTCTCCTTCCAGTGATCCAATTCCTGCCATGTTTCCAAGCCTCCTTTGACCATAACCTGTGGGCGTGCCCTTCCTTATATGTTACTTCGTGGTTCTCTCCAACACCTTGGGTTGGCGACCCTCTTGTGCTCAATTAGGGACACTGCTCAAATCTGCTTTATTCTGTTCAATTCTCTAGTCCTCTTGGGCACATGTACAACAGGGACATATCTCTCCATACCTTCAAGCACAGGGTATATATAGGGTTAAATACTGCTTGTAAAATGAATGGATAAATATGACATTATCTGCCTAAGTAACCATTGCCAGTCCTGAGAGACATCCATCCTTTTAAATACAAAGCTGAGCTCACAAAAAAGTAAAAGAAATCCCTAAAGGAACAAGAAATCAGATTTATAAATCCGTGCTCCATGCCAAGCTGTCCAGAGGAATTTTTTTAATTGGTCAAATAGAAGTTTTGATTTAAACCATAACAAAGAGGAAAAGAAAGAAGGCCTTTTTTCTGTGGTACCTGAACCAAGACCTCTGGAGAGCACTATTGGTGGAACCATAGGGCCACACTTACTGAAGAACCATACTTACTCACTGAAGGAGAATCAGAAAAAATGCATGCTACTTCTGGATGCATACAAAGGATTATTTTATCATTTACTGTTATGCCTTTCTGAAACCCCACTAAAATGGGAGCAAAGAAAATTTTTTCACAAGAATAAAGAGGTGCAGGACAGATCAGTAATGGTAAAACATTGGAAGCTTAAAAACATATGGAAGAGCAGTAACTGACTTAGAAGAACTGTAGAAGGCTGAATCCTAATCCTGTACTGGGGAAAGCTAAAACAAACAAACAAACAAACAAAAACAGACCTTTAATTTTAAAATCTCCCAAAAGCTTAGAACTGGCAGGAGGAACCTCTAGGAAGTGAAGGTAAAGTTAAAGTTAAAAATGAAATAATTGATTGCAGGTCATTTTAAGAAACAGTTAATCTCCACATTTCCACCCACCTCCTACTTGTTCCTCCTCCCATACCATAGGTAACTGTCCCTTCCCAAATGCAGAAAAATGACCAGAGATCTAGTCACTGAAGGATGTAAGAATCACTAGACTGCCAGACATCAGCGTCTGCTTAGGACAGGTGCATAATTCTGAAAACAGAACATCAGTTGAATGCTGAGATCCTTAGCCTGTTCTCTCACTAGTTCCCAGGACATATGCAGCTAGCACTAAACATCCCAGACAGGAGAATGGAAAACTTCCTGGAGCCTCTGACAAACACAAGAGGAAAGATCCAAAGCTACTGATGCCAAGGAGTTCCCCAAAGATATGTCTCAGCTGCAACCCAAACCCTCACTCTCAGAGCCTCACCAATCAGGTCACTGGTGCTCCCATAGCCAGTAAATATGAACAGACACTCAAGGGCCATCAGATATCAAAGAAAGCCTCTATCATGATACATATAAACCAAATCAAACAAACATGTAAACAGGGTGGTAAAGCAACTTAGAAAAAATGGAGACTATGCAGGGAGAAAAAACATTTTTTAAAAGAACTATCATTAATATTCTCACAGAGATGTGGAAAGATACTAATATCTTTTCTCAAAGGAATGAGAGAAGAAAAGATATTACAAAAAAAAAAAAAAACCAGAATGCCAAAAACAAAAAACAAAAAAAAGAAACAACATTCAGAAAACAAAACGTAATAAAAGAGTTGAAAATCACCCAGGATAGAGTAAAAACACAAGATGGAAAATATTATTGAAAAGAAAAGAAAGCCAGAGGGCTAGTTCAGAAAGTCCAATACCCAGACAACAAAATAGTTCAAGATATTTTCCCTTATTAAATTCAATTAAATTTGGCCTAAGCTGCCTCTGTATTTTGAATTTTTACATAGCAAACTGCAACCTCAGCGTGTACACAAATGGCAAACCACCTTAAGAGTATTCTTATAACAAATAATAGTCACAGGCTGCCAGCTAATCAGACCATGTTCAAATACAGCAAATGCCATGCTGTATCCAAGCAAGCTGTCTCTGTGTGTCACTTCCTCCTGTCTATAAAGAGCTCCACTTTCAGAGAGCTCCACTTTGCTGAGTGGAGCTCTCTGAACCTCTATTGATTCTAGCTACTGCCTGATTCGTGAATCACTCTTGCTTAAACAAACTCTGCTGGCCGGGCACAGTGGCTCACGCCTGTAACTCAGCACACTGGGAGACCGAGGCGGGCGGATCACGAGGTCAGGAGTTCGAGACCAGCCTGACCAACCTGGTGAAACCCCGTCTCTACTAAAAATACCAAAAAATAAAAAAAAAAAATAGCCCAGTGCAGTGGCATGCACCTGTAATCCCAGCTACTTAAGAGGCTGAGGCAGGAGAATCACTTGAACCCGGGAGGCGGAGGTTGCAGTGAGCCGAGATCATGTCACTGCACTCTAGCCTGGGTGACAGAGCAAGACTCTGTCTGAAAATAAATAAATAAATACATAAACTCTGCTAAATTGAATTTGTCTAAAGTTTTTCTTTTAACACCCCCAAATGGCCAGTTATGTGTTTCCAGAGACAAAAGACTTATCAAGCACTCAGCTATATAGATGAACAAAACCCACACCAAGTAAAAACTCAAGACTATGTTTATTAGCAGGGAAAATAAAAAAATAGTTCAGAAAAGGCAGAAAATATTTAAGTTACTTTGTTCACCTATAGAGTTTGTATAATTTTAAAATAGTAGATGCGAAATAAAGATTGTCCACATCAGTATTAGGATATAACTGTGCAAAATGAACCACGTATTGTCATCCCTGGAATTAACCTTGTGGGGCAGGAGAGTAAATGGTATAATGGAGGAGGTAAAGCAAAACAGCTAAACCTCCTCTGCCAACCTCGGGAATTTACTTGTAATGACAGAAATAGAAAAAATCAGGAAGTAGTAATATAAGCATGTTTTTAAAATAAATATGGAGGTAAATGCCAAAAGAATTTGTAAAAAGAGAGGAATGTGGCTGATGTAGACAGGGGAAATGAGGAGAAGGTATGCTTTTTTTCTTTTTCTGCTTTTTTTTCCTTTTATTTTTGATAATCAGCTTTGTGACAAATAGGAGTCTTTAAAGTACACAGGGATATATTCTGATAAAATCTTTGTTTATATGCGTGCATGGATATGCACACATATACATATATCTATACATATTTTACAAATGTGTATGTATGTGCTATTTAATTGTTTATTTCCACTTTTATTTCTGACAGTTTATATAAAGATAAATCACAAGGAAATTTTTCTTTTTGCATCTGGACTTTGGGGGTGTGGTGGAGTAGGGACAAAAAAAGTTCCCCTAGAACTCTTAACTATAGGCTGACCTTATAAGGGTGGGGGTTAAGAATTCTTATTTTGGAAGATTTTGTTTACTGATGTATTGTGTGCTACTATGACAGTGTTGGCATACAGTAAGCACTCAATAAATATTTGCTGATGAAAAATGAATGAAAATAGATTTCAATTAACAGAATACAATATCCTGTAACACAAAAGGGGAAATCCTTGAATGTTTGAAAAAAATGAAGGTATTAATCTTAGACTTTGTTAAGATTAATATACTGCTAAAAGTTTAAGTCTAACCTCTCAAATAATTGAAATAGAACACTGAACTTCCAAATTAGTATAAGAGGAAAAAAATTGAATTAAGAAAAATGACCTATCTAAAAAAATGAAAATAAAGAAAAAAGAGTTTTTAAAAGTAGGACAAATAGGAAACATGAAATACAATGATAGAAATAAATCTAAATGAATAAATAATTATAATAATTGTAAGTAGACTAAAAACCTACCAATTAAACGATAGAGATGATTAAAATAAAAAGTCAGCTTAATACTGTTTACAAAAGACCCATCTTAAATGTAAAGACACAAGATGCAGAAATGTCAAAAGTAAGAGGCAAGTTAGTAATTCAGGCAAATACTGATAGAAAAAAACTCATGTATTTATATTAATATCAAACAAGATCGACTTTAATGCAAAAAGCTTACTGAAGATTAATATAATTAAATATTGTTTTAATTCTATCCCATTCTATACCTAATAATATAGTTTCAAACATACAAAGCAAAATTGATAGAACTATGAAAAGAAAACAACAAAAATCTATATACTTAGTGAAAGATTTTAATGCAATCAATCACAACAATATTACATTAATAGATTAAGCAGTCAATCAGCTACCAGTAGATTTAAGTGATATAATCAATATTTATTCCAGTAGCTGTATATAGTACTCTGAAACTACCAACTGGCAAATGTACATCTGCTCAAGTAAAGGAACACTTATCAACATGTATTATTAGTTTATTAAACAAGTCTCTGTAAGTAGGAAAGTTGTCATATCATAGACACTATCTATTCTGACCAAAATGGAGCTAAGTGGTTTCTTTACAAAGATAACAAATCCAAGATTTTTGAAAATTTAAAAATGCTTCTAAAAAATCCATGTACTGAAGAATAAATCAAGGTGGAAATTGGAAAAAACGTAAGCTTAAATGGTAGTAAAATACTACATATCCAATTATGTGTAACACAGAAAAGGAGATATTGGTGGCGATTTTGCAGACTTAAATATTTATATTAGAAAATAAGAATGGAAATTAATGAGTTAAATGTCTTAAGAAATTGCAAAAAGAACAACAGAATGCACAAAGAGAACAAAGCCAAAAGTTGATGTTTTGAGATTTTAAAGACTGACACTTTGTAACTAGATTGATTTTGCAGGAGGATGAGCTGTGGACAAAACCCCTCAGACACTGGGTTAAAGAAGGAAGTGGCTTTATTCAGCCAGGAGCTTCAGCAGACTTGCATCCAAAAAACAGAGCTCCCCAAGAGAGAAATGCCTGCCCCTTTTAAGGGCTTACAGCTCTAAGGGAGTCCATGTGAAAGGGTCATGATTGATTGAGCAAGCATGGGGTACGTGGCTGGGGCTGCATGCATCAGTAATCAAGACAGAACAGAACAGAAAGTTTCACAGTGCTTTCTCATACAATGCCTGGAATCTATAGATAATACAAGTGGTTAGGTCAGGGGTTGATTTTTAACTACTAGACCAGGTCTGGGGTGCAGCACAGGGCTGTTTATTGATCTCATTTTTGCCTTTCTTTAACTTTTACTTCCTCTTTCTTTTTCTGAGGTATGAGACAATAAGAGAGGTGGCCTCCTTCCTTAATTTTTTTAAAAAAGAAAGAAGGAAAATAATAAATATTGGAATTTGAAAATAACTCATAACTGTAGATATACAAGATAGTTTTAAATACCGAGACTAGTATGAACAATTATGTACTTTAAAGTTTGAAAACAGATCAAAGAGAAAATATTACACATCAAAACTGACTAAAAAATAAATAGAAAATCTGCATGTTGCTATAATTATTAAATAAGTTGAATAAGGATAAAAATTTACCCACACAGATACATTCTCACCCAAGACTCAGACATTTTAGTGGTGAGTTCTGTAAAACAGTCAAGGAACAAGTAATTCCAATTTATATAAATACTTCCAGATAATAGACAAAGAAGAAATACTAACCACTTATTTTACCAGGCTAATAGAACTTTAAAGCAAAAGCATACTAGGACAGTAAGAAAGAAAAATCACATATCAACCCATTAATAAGCAGAGATACAGAATTCAAGACAAAATACTAGAAAACTGGCCAGGTGTGGTGGCTCACGCCTGTAATCCCAGCACTCTGGGAGGCTGAGGTGGGTGGATCACCTGAGGCCAGGAGTTTGAGACCAGTCTGGCCAACATGGTGAGACCCTGTCTCTACCAAAAATGCAAAAATTAGCCAGGCGCAGTGGTGCACACCTGTAGTCCCAGCTTCTCAGGAGGCTGAGGCAGAAGAATTCTTTGAACCTGGGAGGTGGAGATTGCAGTGACCTGAGATGGTACCACTGCACTCCAGCCTGGGTGACAGAGCAAGATCCTGTCTCAAAAAAAAAAAAAATGTACTAACAGCATTTTCTATACTAACCAATTAAAGAAAAAAAACCAATATGATTATTGCTATAGATTCTGGAAAAAATTTAACAAAGGTTAATACTGGTTTATGTTAAAAAGAGTATTGTATTAATTAGGATTAGAATCATCTGCACATAACAGAAATCTCCTTCAAATATCAAGAGAAAAAAAATCATTTCTCTCAAACACCAGTGATGGTATAGTGACTCTATGGCATCATCAGGGACCTAGGCTTCTCTCTACTTTGCCATCACAATGCTTGGCTTCAATTTCATGGTCCAAGACAGCCATCATACTTCTGCTTCCCATCCCTCCTGTGGCAGTTCCTATTTTCCAAATATGGCCACAGCAATATCTCTCATCCCAAATGTTCTTTTGCAATGTGACCTTTCCATTCTCCCACCAAAGAATGGAGTTATTTCTCTACTCCCATGAATATTGAAGGATTTTCTTCTTTGACCAATAAAATATGGCAGAAATGACACTGTGCCAATTCCAGGCATATCCCTTAACTGGACTCATGGCTACTGCTTCCTTCCTCCTAGCAGCCGGGCTCAAGGTGATTATTCTGGGACCACCATGCTGTGAGAAAAGCCCAAGCTCCATAGAAAGGCCCTGGAGGAAGAGAAGTCATGTGATAAGAGATCGAGGAGCACAGAGGTGCCAGACATAAGAGTGAAGAAGTCATCCTGGAAGTGGATGCCCCAGCCCTAGCTATCTCAGTTGACACCATGTGGATCAGAGATAAACCATCCAGCCAGACCATTTCTGAATTCCTGATCTATGAAACTGTGAGCAAAGTAAAATGTTTGTTTTGAGCCTCTGAGAGTATGCAGTTTCCTTCATAGCAATATATAACCGGAACATCTCCCTTTTAAGGAGTCTTCCAGAAATCTCAAACAACACTTGGCTTTAATTTTCTTGGCCCAAACTTAGTCACATGGCCACACTTAACGATAAGTAAGTCTGGGAATTGTAGTCTTTTCCCTGGGCTGCAATGTTCTCAACTAAATTCAGGGTTCTATTACCAAGGGGGAAGGGAAGAATAGGTAAGAGAATTGAAAACAGCTGTCAGTCTCCAACAAAATTTATGTCTAATCCAGTGAGTCTCAAAACATGGCCCCTGGGCCAGCAGCATCAGTAGCACCTGGAAATTTGTTAGAAATGAAAATTCTCCAATCCTACCTTAGACCTACTGAATCAGGAATCCTGGAGCTGGGATCCAGCAATCTGTGATTGTTGTGATTGAGTGGTCAAGGAAATTCTAAAACACACAGAAGTTTGAGAACCATTGGTCTAAACTTAAAGGAAATTATTCTTCCTGGTGAAATGTCAGAAATATTTCCTTTAAAATCAGGAACAGAACAAAGATGTCCAGATTCATTGCTTCTATTTAACATCATGCTTTCTGTTCTGGCCAGCGCAGCAAGAAAAGAAAAAGAAATAAATGTAAAAGAAGAGATAAAACTGTCATATTCACTGTTGATTTGATTGTGTATATTTAAAATAAATCCAAGTTCCAAGTTGCTGATTGTATGAATGTACAAAAATGGGTTTCTTCCTATACGACACAACAAATTATTTAGATATCATTGGTAATGGCAAGCAGTAGTTACCCAGGAATGAATCTAACAGCAAAACTGCATTCATTTGGGGTAGAAAATGATAAAATGTCTTGAGACATTAAAAAAGACTTAAACAGGCCAGGCACAGTGGTTCATGCCTGTAATCCCAGCATTTTGGGAGGCCGAGGCAGGCAGGTCACTTGAGGTCAGGAGTTTGAGCCAGCCTGGCCAACACGGTGAAACCTCATGTCTACTAAAAATACAAAAATTAGCTGGGCATGGTGGCCCACGCCTGTTGTCCCAGCTACTGGGGAGGCTGAGGCAAGAGAAAAGCTTGAACCCGGGAGGTGGCGGTTGCAGTGAGCCAAGATGGCACCACTGCACTCCAGCCTGGGCAACAGAGCAAGACTTCATTTCAAAAAAAAACTTAAAGAATTAGCTTTGTGATGTTCATGTATAGATAGACAGACTTAATATCATAAACTCTCCTGCATCTCCAATTTAATCTTTTTATTTGCCATAATTATAATTTTTTAAAGCCAGCATGGTTTTTCTGGGTAAGCTGATTCTAAAATTTATATGAAAGAGTGAAAGTTCAATGATAGTCCAGATATTTTTGAAGAAAAAGGATGAAGTGGAGGGGATTGCCCCTACCATCTATATATCAAGATTTATTTCGAAGCTATGGTAATTGAGATAGTGAGGTATTGACACAGGATAGAAATATAAATGAATGGAATAGACTACAGCATCTAGAAATATACATACATGGAACATTTATCTAAGATTGGAATGACATTTAAGATTGATAAAGAAAAGACTGACTCTGACAGGCAGTCCTCACTTTATTGTGTCTCTCCATATTGACACTGAGTTTTTTACAATTTGAAGGTTTGTGGCAACCCTGCATCCAGCAAGTTCATTGGCACCATTGTTGAGCAGCATGTGCTCACTCTTTGCCTCTGTGTCACATTTTGAAAATTCTTGCAATATTTCAACCTTTTTCATTATTATTATATCTGTTGTAGTGATCTGTGATAAGTCATCTTTGATGTTACTAATGTCATTTTGGGGGGATGTCATGAACTGTGCCCATAAAAGACAGAGAGTTTAATGGATACATCTTGTGTGTTCTCTCACTGCTCCACAGACTGGCCATTCTCCCTTCTCTCTCCCTCTCCCCAAGCCTCCCTATTTCCTGAGATATGACAATAATGAAATTAGGCCAGTGAATTATCCTATAATGGCTCCTACGTGTTTAAGTACAAAGGAAGAGTCACACATGCCTCACATTAAATGAAAAGCTAGAAATAATTAAGCTTAGAGAGGAACGGCTGTTGAAAGCTGAGAAAGGCCAAAAGCTAGGCCTTTTGCATGAAACAGCAAAGTTGTAAATGCAAAGGAAAAGTTCTTGAAGGAAATAAAATTGTTATGCCAATGAATACACAGATGATAAAAAAGTGAAATAGCCTTATTGCTGATATAGAGAAAGTTTTAGTGGTTTGAATAGAAGATCAAACCAGCCACAACATTCCCTGAAGCCAAACCCTACTCCAGAACAAGGCTATAACTTTCTTCAATTCTGTGAAGGCTGAGAAAGGTGAGGAAGTGGCAGAAGAAAAGCTGGAAGCCAGCAGAGGCTGGTTAATGAGGTTTAAGGAAAGAAGCCATCTCCATAACATAAATATACAAGGTGAAGTGGCAAGTGCTAATGTAGAAGCTGCAGCAAGTTATCCAGAAGATCTAGGCGAGATCATTGATGAAGGTGGCCACACTAAACAACATACTTTCAATGTAGATGAAACAACCATGCATTGAAAGAAAATGCCATCTAGGGTTTTTATAGCTAAGCAGAAGTCAATGTCTGACCTCAGAGCTTCAAAGGATAGGCTGACTCTTGTTAGGGGCTAATGCAGCTGATGATTTTAAGCTGAAGTCAATGCTTCTTTACCATTTTGAAAATCCTAGGGCCCTTAAGAATTATGGTAAATCTGCTCTGCCTGTGCTCTATAAATGGAAAAACAAAGCCCAGATATGACAGCAGATCTATTTATATGATGCTTTATTGAATATTTTAAGCCCACTGTTGAGACCTACCACTCAGGAAAAAAAGATTCCTTTCAAAATATTACTGCTTATTGACAATGTACCTAGTCACCCAAGACCTCTGATGGAGATGTACAAGGAGATGAATGTTGTTTTCATGCCTGTTAAGATAACATCTATTCTGCTGCCTGTGAATCGAGCAGTAATTTTGACTTTCAAGTCATTATTTAAGAAATACATTTTGTAACCCTGTAGCTGCCATAAATAGTGAGTCCCCTGGTGGATCTGGGCAAAGTGAATGGGAAATCTTCTGGAAAGGATTCACCATTCTAGATGCCATTAAGTACATTCGTGATTCATGGGAGGAGGTCAAAATATCAACATTACCAGGAGTTTGGAAGAAGTTGATTCTAATTCTCATGGATAACTTTGAAGGGTTCAAGTCTTTAGTGGAGGAAGTAACTGCACATGTGATGGAAATAACAAGAGAACTAGGATTAAAAGTGAAGACTGAAGATGGGACTGAATTTCTGTGATCTCATGATCAAACTTTAACAGACGAGGAGTTGAGTTGCTTCTTGTGGATGAGCAATGAGAGTGGTTCCTTGAGATGGAATTCTACTCCTTGTGAACATGCTCTGAACACTGTTGGAATACAACAAAGGATTTAGAGTATTACATAAACTTAGTTGACAGGGCAGGGTTTGAGTACTGACCCCAATTTTGAAAGAAGTTCTACTGTGGGTAAAATGTTGTCAAACAGCATCTTATGCTCCAGAGAAATCTTTCATGAAAGCAAGATTAAATCAATGCAGTGAACTTCATTGTTGTCTTATTTTAAGAAATTGCCCCAGCCACCCCAACCTTCAGCAACCACTGCCCTGATAAGTCAGCAGCCATCAACATCAAGGCAAGACCCTCCACCAGCAAAAAGATTACTACTCACCAAAGGCTCAGATGATCATTAGCATTTTTTAGCAATAAAATATTTTTAAAATAAGGTATGTACATTGTTTTTATAGACATTATGCTATTTCACATTTAATAGACTATAGTATAGGGTAAATATAACTTTTATATGCACTGGGAAATTAAAAAAAATGTGTGACTTGATTCATTGAGCTATGTGCTTTACTGCAGTGGTCTGGAACTAAATCTACAATATCTCTGAGGTATGCCTGTAACTAATTAATGCTGGACCAATGAGCCTCATGTAAAGTAGTAATACTGGATACCAACATCATTACAAAATCAATATTAATTCCAATAGAATTAAAGACAAAATGTAAAAAACTTAAGATTTTTGGATAAAATTCTAAGATGATATTTTTAAGATTACAATGTAAAAAAAACTTATACAAGATACAAAAGGCACAATTCGTAAAGGAAGAGACTGATGAATTAGACTACACTAAAGTTGAAAACTTCTACAGAGCAAAAGAAATCATGTTTAAAAAGGACACATGACAGACTGGGAGAAGATATTACAACATACATCTGATAAATAATCTGTACCCTAAAAATATAAACATCACTTGAAGCAATCCAATTTTGGAGTACTCTACCTGTGTGATGTATTTTGTAACATAAAAATCAAAGATTAGAATTAAAATATATGATTCAAAATAAAGTACAACTGAAGACATAATTAGTTGAATTAGTAAATAGTAAAATAGATAATACACTTGCTCTTAACCAAAAGGTGAAGAAGTGATAAAACATTAAAACAGAAATGAAGGCCAGGGGCAGTGGCTCATGCCTGTAATCCCAGCACTTTGGAAGGCTGAGGCAGGTGGATCACATGAGGCCAGGAGCTTGAGACCAGCCTGGCCAATGTGACAAAACCCATCTCTACTAAAAATACAAAAATTAGCCGGACATGGTGGTGCAAGCAAACCCAGCTACTCGGGAGGCTGAGGCATGAGAATCGCTTGAACCCGGTAGGCAGGCATTGCAGTGAGCCGAGATTGTGCCACTGTACTCCAGCCTGGGGGACAGAATATGACTCTGACTAAAAAACAAAAAATTGAAATGAAAAAATTGCTAAAATGCAGCTCAGATATTCAAAGAGGTAGAAAATATGAAAGAGAAGTTAAGAGATATAGAGGCTATATTGAGAAGTTCTGATCAGTATTCAATTAGAGCTCCAGAAAGAAAGGATGGAGGATATGGGGCAAAGGGAATATTTGCAGAGATAATTGCTGAGAATTTTCCAGACCTGATCAATAGGAACAACCACACCAAATAGCAATTTGTGAATTTAGCTTTACTGAAGCTGAGCATATTCACTTGTCAACAACTCGGCAATCTTACCTCTAGGTATGTATGTACCATAAATAATTTATTGCATATGTGTACGTGGTAACATGTACAAGAATGTTCGTTGTGTCAATGTTTGTAATTGAAAAATACTGGAAATATCAATAGGTGAGAAGATAAATAAATTATGTTGTATCCATATAATGGAATGCCACACACCAGTAAAAATTAATAAACTGGAGTTGCATGTGTCAGCAAAAGTCAATTTTACAAAAATATTGAGGAATAAAACCAAGTTGCAGAATATACATGATGCCATTTACTTAAAATATGCAAAATTGTAAGACAATATATATATCCCTTAGAGATAAGTGCAAATATATGTTTTGTATAAAGAAATGCTCAGGAACTATAAACAGCAAACTCCAGATGAGGATTCCCTTTGAAGATATTGGGGAGGGGAGGAAGTCATGATCAGAAATGAGAGCTAAAGGACTCTTCACTTCTGGTAATGTCGCATTTCTTAAGGTGAATGGAGAGTTCATAAGTTCCTTACAATGCTCTTTATAGTCTTTTTTATGCCTGAAGTATTTCAAAATACATTTTTTAGGCAGCTAAAAGACCTTTGAGACATAACTGAGAATGTCCAAGCATTGAGGCTATTTTAACTGAAATGTTATTATAATAGTTTCTGGAGACATTTAAAGATACATAAAATTCAGTTTATCCACCTGTTATTCTTGACTCTTAATCTTCCTCTCTCCTGGAATACACTGGATTTCCTCTGGACTAGCAATATAATACATCTTCAATGACATGTATTTTCCTTTTCCTCTCAACTTTCATCTTCTCCTCAGCTTAGAAACATACTCAAGTCTCCGCTAGCCTTAACAAATAAATAAGGAACACCTGTTCCTTATACACTTGTAAATTTTTTGCCTCCCTTCTCATCCAGGTTCTTGGAGGAACAGCCCAGGCTTCCTATGTCTAACCCATCACTTCTACTCACTCTGCAAAACACTATAATCTGACTCCTGTCCACTTGACTGGAAGAGCCCATTTTAAGACATTAACATTGCATTGCAAGTCAAATTCAAAGTAACTTTTCAGCTTCATAGACAACTACTGTATTTGACACTGTTGATCTCTCCTTCCTTCTTGAAGTTCCTTAATCCCTTGGGTTCTGTGACACTCTTTTCTTCTTCTCTGCACACTTGTCTATTGCTCTTCTGTATCGTCATCATCTCTGATTTGTCACCTTTGACATAAATCATGTGACCAAACACAGGTAAGTGTGTTCCTGACTCTGTTCTGTTCCATTCATCAGTTTATCTATCCTCATTCCAAAACCACACTACCTTAGTTACTACCTCTATGATAGATCTTGATTTATAAAAATATAAGACCTCCAGCTTTGTTCTCTTCAAGATTGGCTTGGCTATTATTGGCCCTTTGAATTTACATAAAATTTTAGAAAATTGCTTTTTTAAATTTTTCTAAGAGAGAGAGAGCGCATCTCACTATATTGCCCAGGCTGGTCTTGAGCTCCTGGCCTCAAGCAATTCTACTGCCTTGGCCTCCCAGTGCTGCGATTATAGGTGTGAGCCACTGCTCTCATCCTAGAAAATTGATTTTTTAAAAGTATTTTTCCCTAGATTTGTCCCCAACATTTTTTGGAAATTTAAAAAATTCTAAAGTCTGAGAATATCTAACCTAGTTATTCTTACTCATTTTGAGACTCAATTTAGGGGGTGGCTTCCTCAGAAACCTCTCTGTCTGCCTCACGACAGGTTGCTTAGGTTCCCATCTTACAATTACCACTTATTGCCCTTGTAACTACCTTGTAATTACCACTACACATTTTTCTTGAGAGATCTTTCTGGAAATACTAACAACAATAATTATATTATGTGCTATAATTACTTTTATTCAATATCTTCCACAGCCCCTATGCAGTAGATATTATTAAACTAATAGATTAGAATACTGAGATATAGAAAGATAAACCACTTGAGATCACACACTGAGTAAATTTTAAAGTTAGAATTCAAACCCAGTTCTGTCTGATTCCAAAGCCTGATTTTTTTCCCACTATGTACTCTCCCTCTGCTAATGATGTAATACTTAATCGTGGAATTTAAATTTAATTTGTTAGAGATTTGATGCTTACTTTTTCTTTTTGAGATAGGGTCTTGCTCTGTCACCCAGGCTGAAGCGCAGTGGCCTGATCATAGCTCAACGTAACCTCAAAATCTCATCTAATTTTATTTTTGTAGAGACAGGGTCTCACTATGTTGCCCAGGCTGGTCTTGAACTCCTGGCCTCAAGCAATCCTCCTGCCTTGGCCTCCCAAAGTGCTGAAATTACAGACATGAGCCACTAGGCCCAGCTCTTGATGTTTACTTTCAAAAACCTAATGGACTATTAACTGTATAACAAATAAATAATATTGAATAATATGTATAATATTTAATATATGTAAATAAGATATATTTATCAAGATAAATGTTAATGTTAATTTTTATTTTTTTAATTTATTTATTTTTTGAGATGGGGTTCCACTCTTGTCACCCAGGCGGGAGTGCAGTGGTGCCATCTCAGCTCACTGCAACCCCCACCTCCCAGGTTCAAGCGATTCTCCTGCCTCAGCCTCCTACTAGCTGTGATTACAGGCATGTGCCACGATGCCCAGCTAATTTTATATTATCTTTAATTTTTAAATACGATATTTAAAATTTTTTTCCATACGTATTCTGCTTAAGTACCAGATTTATTTTTTATACTAAATAAAAAAATAATGTTTATGTTTGAATTATTTGTTGCTGAGGAACAAATTACTTGCTCTATGCCAGAACTTACTGGCATAGAACAACAAGCATTTTATTCTCTTCATGAAGTGTGTGGGTCAGAGCACAGCAGGAAGGGCTTGTCCCTGCTCCACCGTGCCTGAGGCCTCAGCTGGGAAAACTGGAATGGCTGGGGGTAACTTGAACAACTGGGAGGTGGAAGCATCTGGCAGCTCCTTCGTTTACATGCCCGGCGCCTGAGCTGGGATTACTGAAAGGCTGGGCTCAGCTGAGGCTGTCAACCAGAGCGCCTAGGCAGGACCTCTCATGTGGCACGCGGCAGCTGGATCCAAGACAGGGAGTGTGTCAGGAGAGCAAGCATTCCAAAGGAGACAGGAGGAAGCTGCAGGGCGCTTTCTGCTCTGGTCTCAGAAGTCACACAGCAGCACTGCTGTGTTACTCAGTTGAAGCAGTCACACACTAGCTCAGATTTAAGGGGTGGGGGACCTAGAGCCTGCCTCTCAATAATAAGGGCATTGACAAATTTGGGGCCATATCTTAAAACCACCAAAGCTTACAAAAATATGTGGATTTTAGTCATGTTTTGGATATCTGCACTTTACCGTTAGTATTTACTGTTCATATTGGGTCTGAGAGTGGTGCCTTCACAGCTTCCACATTTGGCAGGAGAGATGTCACAGTTCAGCAAGAGTTCCCACCACTCCTCACATCAGGAGGATTTGGGGGTCATAAAGTTACTGCTGAACTATATGGTATGAGAAATACATTCTGAATCTTCCATTCCTCTCTTCTTCCCAATGTCATGGACGATGAAAAGAACTGGCCTCATATGGTACCCTAGAGATGTGGCAGGGAGTGCTTCCCTGACTTAAGACATTTTCTTTTAATTTATGATAACATGGGGGAGATATTTGAATGAAGATAAATGACCATTTTTCACATTACATTTGAGTAGTAATAGGGCACATTTATTGAGCACTAAACTTATTTGCTAGATGTGTGCTCAGCACTTAGTTGATCTTTCAACATCCTATGACCTTGCTGCTCAAAGTGTGGTCCTCAGATCAGCAGCAGCAGCATCACCTGGGAGCTTGTTAAAAATGCAGAACCCCAGGCCCTAGGTCAGACCTGCTGAGTCAGAATCTGCATTTCTGCAAGATTCCCAGGTGATTTGTTCATACGTTAAAATGTAGAAGTACTGCTTTATAAAGTGAGTGCTATTACTATCTACCTTTTACAGAGTAGGCAACTCTGAAGGGTTAAGAAACTTACTGATCACATTCTGAGAGAATGGAAAAAAGAAACTGGATAAAGAGTACACAGTTTGTGAGTTAGAACAGCTGAAATTCAAATTCAGGTCTGACTGACTCCAAACCTATATTCCTCACAAATATTCCACCGTGCCTCTCAGTAAATTTCACTGCATTGGCAAATGTGCTCCTATATAGACAGTTATCATCCGTTTAAAGAGTGGTTTAAACAGGTATCACCATCAAAACAGCATTGTTCCATCACTTCATAAATTATTTAGCCCTCTGCCTCCCCTTGCTCAACTGTGAGTTCCTTAAAAGACAGGACTGTTGTCCTATTTGTTGTTAAATCTGCAGAAATTAACCCAGAATCTGACACATAACAGAGTATCTGCCCCTTACAAACTCCTTAATTAATATACATTAAGCCTATTTGTTCAAGTGAGTTGTATAGATTGTGGGCAGTTAACTGGGTGCTAAGATTATTCTGCTGTAAAAGAGGATGCAGGGGTCCTCCCTGGGGTTTCCTGCAGGCCAGGACTTCGGCGGCAGAAAACCACCAAGGCTGCTGCTCCCGACCCATCGGCGCAGCTTATCTCTCTGCCCAGGCGGCCCCCAGCCCAGCCCAGCAATGGGACTTCCTGAGAAAGGTTCTCCTTTCTTTCCTAGCCCTGGAGCACAGCTCTGTGGCTATAATTAACTTCCTTCCACTTGATTTATGCAGAAGGGACAGGACCCGTGAAATGCAGGGAAGCTTGGTTATAATCCCTGTATTCCTGTGGTGCCTCAGTCTCTAAAGCTCTTTTTTAATTGATTGCATCTCATGTGTTCTTATTGAGAAATCTATGGAGAGAGGAACACAGACACTCAGCAATGTATAGTGGTTAGAGCAAGCAGAAGTCCTGGCTTTCCCCGGACAATCCCCACCTGTGCACACCATCCTGGTGTGATTGTTGACAGTCTTTGTTCATGGTCAAACGTGCCCCTGTTTGGGCGATAAATTATATGGTCACCTTAGTCACTGGGGCTTAATGCTGGTCCTGATGTCACCTCAGGAGTCAGAACGGGAGCCAGTCCCTGATGCAGAGATTTGCTTTCTGGACCAGTAAACCATCTGTCATTAGGGCGTTTCTCCTAGTGTAGTTTTCAGGCCACCTGCTTCAGAGCCAGCTGTGAGCTGAGTGTCCACACAAGTGCCCAGGCCCACCTTGGTCCTACTCAGAACCAGGAACTTCTTTTCCCTCTGAGACTCAGTCTGATGCTCCCTCCTCTGACCTCAGCTTACGCTGAAGTCCCCGATGACTTTCTCTTCCCTAGGCATCCATTCTCCAACCCTTAGCACTGGGAACCATTTGATTTCAGTCTGAAGGCCTCCATCTTCCCACCCCTTAGAGGGTGGCCTGAATACCACCCTGCCCTGTACCCCACAGCACTATTATTAGATGGGAACATCAGAGGCTAGAACTGAAATCCCTGGCAGGCCTTTGTCCCCAGAGCGAAGGAGAGAATCGCCGGAAGGGACAGCCTAGCCTGAGGTTAGACAGTCCAGTTCTCTTTCCTCTGGGCTCCGGAGGACTGCAGGCCAGCAGGAAAGAGCTGAGCTATTCTTAGCCGAGGTGTGGGAGCCTGGCAGGAGCTGCAGGCGCTGCCCCAAGGGTCAGAGACAGGAATCGGCCACCCACTCTGGCTGCCTCCCCTCTCTCCCTTGGCTGCCCTTCACACAAATAAATGACCACCCCACTCCCTGCAACCAGCAGCAGTGCATGGCTCAGATATGGGTCACCCGTAGTCCCCTTAGTAGAAGGCACAGCTCTGCCTCTCTCTTATATTACAGTTTGTGGGTATATCTAAAGCTGAGTGGGGCCTCAGTCACCACCTCACTTTCTTCTTAGAACCCTAGCACCCTGCATAGGTCAGGACTGAGCCCCACAGAAGGGAAATGATCTGTATGGGGCCACACGGACATTCAGAGTCACTAAGAACTCTACTAAGAACTCTACCAGGGCCAGGTGGGGTCATAGAATACAAGCTATACGTTTGGGCTAAGGTTTCCAAATGTCAGTCAGCAGACAGGGGCTATTTATGCCAACATCTTTGCAGGTCCTCAGTAAAACGAAGACCACTCGTGTCATATTACCAACTGTGCTTTCATGGAGAGGGTTTTATTTTTTTCTGAATGTATGCTCTTCTTATCTCGAGGTTGCAAAAAAGACCTTGCTTTATGAAATGACTCTAATAGTATATGACAATCCTAGGACAGTCCCTAACACTAAAACTTTTTTTTACTGATGTGTGAAGTAAAAATATATATTTAGGAAGCAATAGAGTGGAGGATACTCAAAATAAAATAAAGATACACTTTATTCATTCATTTAATAAATGTTGAATGTCTATTTTTGGTGTACACTGCACCAGAGCACAAAATATACCTGGTTTCTACCCTCATGTTGCTTACAATCAAATGGGGAAGACAAGCAACAAACAAGTGAATGTCACTTGTAAAATGTGGTAAGGGCAATGATGAGATTCTAGAAGAAAGTACTGTGAGAGGGAATAAAGGGAATGGTGAGATGCTTATTTTCAATTGGGTGGTTAGGGAAGACCAGAAGAGGAGGGGGAGCCACTTTGCAGAAAGTGAGCAGGGGAGAGAAGAAATTCGGCAAAGGAACAGCTTGAGTAAAGGTTTGAGGTTGGAAAAGAGCTTGGGGAGTTTTAGGAGCTGGAGCGAGGGGAAGGATCTACCAAATGAGGTGGGAGAAGCAGGTTGGAGTCCAACCCCTTGAGGTCTTATAAGCCATGGAGAAAAGTTTTCCATTTTATTTTAGAAAAAAAGGAAGCTATTGAAGTGTTTTCAGCAGGGGAATGAGATGGTCCAGTTTTAATTTTAAATACGGGGGATTGGCTCCAGGATTCCCTCCCCCAACTGTGGGTAACAAAATCTGCAAATGCTCAAGTCCCTGATACACAATGGCAGAGTATTTGTATATAACTTATGCATATCCTCCTGGATACTTTAAATCATCTCTAGATTACTTATAATACCTAATGCAATGCAAATGCTATGTAAATAGATATTATATTGTATAGTTTTGGGAATGATAACAAGAAAAAAGTATGCACATGTTTAATACAGATGCGATTTTGGGGGGAATATTTTTAGAATCCACAAATGCAGAACCCAGAGAAACGGAGGGCCAACTGTGCTTTTCTTTACCTGCTGTGTGAAGAATGGACAGGAGCAACTCAAGAATGGTCCTAGGGAGACCAGAGTAGAGGCCACTGATATTCCAGGTGAGAAGTGGTAGGTTCAAGACCTTCCTAGAGAAGATAATTTTCTACTTGTTGAGAAAACACACACATACATGCTAAATGAATCAGGTCATCTGGCAAATGTAGTAAAGTCATATGTTTGGACACAGAGTTTTGGAAAGGAGAGCTGAGAACATTCCAGGACCTTCCCAATCCCTCTCTAGC
The DNA here is from genome assembly GCF_000001405.40 of Homo sapiens. Lineage (NCBI taxonomy): Eukaryota > Metazoa > Chordata > Mammalia > Primates > Hominidae > Homo > Homo sapiens. Next base: position 207,920,903 of record NC_000001.11, on the reverse strand, counting down.
TCCAATCTTTTACCCTGGGGTCATCAGCTGGTCGCTGGGCTTGTTCCCCATAGGTTAATACATCCTCAGAGGAATTTCCAAGGCCCTGTCCCTAATATCCCCAACCAATCCTCCCAAAGCTCTCCAGTTTGGATATGACCATTTCTGCAGAATGCACACATCTGGGAAGCAGCTGCCTGGCCACTCTCACAAAATCATCTCCCTGTAATTCAGTTAAAGCTGGAGTAGAGAGGAGGCATGGGGGACTAAGGAAAAATGTGAAGTCTGCCCAAGATGGGATCTGGGTAGATGTCAGGGGTACCACCCCTGATCTTTGTAGACAGGCCTCCAGGGTAGCCACTGGGATTTCAACTGGCCTCTGTGTCTTCCTCTGATCCCCGCAAGACCAGATGTGTCCCACAGCTGTACACCATCTGCTACCCTCTACCCCAGAGGAAGCTATAGTTTAGAGCTTGAAGAAGTGGCGGGGAAGACAGTGAGCTCTCCCTTGTCTATAGAGAGTTAATTGTGGGAATAAAGAGTCTAGACTTCCCATGAAGTGGGCAAATGGTTTGGCATTCATCTGCACAGTGGCTCCCCAAAAATGTCCTGGCATGGGAAAAAATTTCAAAGAAAACTCAATGTCCCAGGGTTTTTAAACTCCCTTCCTACTCAATGTTTCACAGACTCTAGCTTACAAACTTCATCTTTCCTATTTGCTCTGCTCTGTGCTCCTCTTCTTTCCTCCCTTCCCCAAACACCGACACCCCGAATTCCCAATCTGGGTCATCAAAAGCCTAACAGCATCTATTCAAGCTGACATCTAATCCTCCCCAGAGGAAGAGAACTGCACTCCCATCCAGCAGATGATGTTATTGGCCCCCTCCCTGAGCTCAGAGGCTTGGTAGAGCCCAGACATATGGATCTTTTTAGAGACTTATGCAATTTGGCAACCCTGTTTCACACCCTCCAAGCCCTGCTGCTCAGACACTGCTCTGCAGAGAGTACACCCAGAGAGGGAGGGAGTGGATCCCTACATGCTCTTTTACTCTTATTCTTTCCTTGTCATTTCTCCTGGCAACTCTCTACTCAATTTGGAAAAAAAAAGTAAAGTGTTCTTCTCCTAGCCAAATCTTTGACTGAAAACAGGAAAGAGAAAAAAAATCAAATAAAAAGAAAAAGAGGAAGAGAAAATGGGAAAAAGAACACAGAACTGCACCATGAATATTCTGATCAGTTCTCCAAGACAAAGACTGAGAACCACCTGAGCCAACAACACACTGTCTTGCTTCTCCTCTTCTCCATCTGCTGTCTATGTGAATAGACATAGATTCCAGTCTATATGGAGCTCCTGGCTTTGTGCAGTGCACAACCTGAGCACTATCTGCTGCAACCCTACCTCCTCCAACACTTAATTCATCCTGAGCCTCTGATGGGTGAATTTGACCTTGCTCTATGTGCTCAGAATGATGTATAGTGCTTCTACTGAGGCAAAAACATCTCTGACGCTTGGTAGGCTCACACTTGCCCCTTTGTCACCTCAGTCAGACACACAGGTGACTGGCGTGTCTTTGAAAAATAAGGAACTTTCTTGCTGCTTATGGAAGAAAGAATGGCTTCTCTGCTCAAGGACCAACAGCCAGAACTGCCAAGGAAATTTTGTAGACTCCCCAGTCAGGAGTCACCAGAGGTCTGGTGCTAGAAGTATAAGACCTTCTAAGGTCCCAAGACCTAATTTCCAAATTGAGACCTTAGCACCGAGACCTTAGAATGTCTTACTCTCCTAGTACTAGACCTCTGATGGCTCCTGGCTGGAGAGTCTGCAAAATCTGAACCTTAAAGGGTGGGGCCATTTTGGATGAAGATGTTAAACTAGGAGGGGTCCATAAAATTCACAGGAATTAGGTTGTCCTTGAGCCATGCCCCCATGCTCTGCCTCTGAGGTGGTCTCTTCCAGGCCATAGGCCCAACTCAAAAGCCTAGAAGTGGGAGAAATGTGACGTAGGGAAGCTTTGCCTTTTTCTTTCGGACCCAGGCCTGGACCAACACCTTATTTTATTTTTGATGGCTTCATGATAGATGGGACCTCTGTATAAAGCTCAAGAGAATAGTTTGGGACAGATGTTTCCTTTCCAGCCACATTTTCCTGCCTCAAGTTAAAAATAGCCATCCTCTTTGCTTTGGCTTCCGTAAGATGTATGCCATTAAAGCTCTCTATTTGGGTTTACAGAGACAAAGGCTGTTAAGTCCCTGGCTTTCACAGCCTGTTGGGCCGTGAACTGATGCAATATTGGGTTCGGGAAGATCCAGCCCCTTGAGACAGATTCCTGGACACTTTAGTGAAAAAAGATTGCTTTCCTATACCTACCATTAGGTAGCACCAGAAAGAGAATTTCCAAGTGGGGAAGGACCTTTCGCAAAGTAGTTCTATTTTTGTTTTCCTGAATAAATCCTTCATTATGGAGTTTTCTTGAATCAATGACAACATCACCCCCAGGGTAACCTGAACCCCCTTTGATATCTGGCTTTAATGGAGGTATAAATGCTGTCGGTAGTATTCATGAGCAATGTTGAGTTAGGCCTACACCATCAGGAAGATTGACTGAAAGCTTAGCTACTACAGAGGGAAATGAGCAGAGACAATACCAGAATTACAGACACAAATCCACAAACAATGGATTTCTGAGCTGTTCTCAGGGAGCTGCTTCCCAGGGTGTAAGGAATCTTTACTTAAGTCTCCCTTATCGCTGACATATTCGCCCTTTGGCCAAGCTGTTTCCCCTGTCACCTGACAGCTCCTGTGGACAGCTCAGGACCTGACAAATCCGAAGAAAATAACTACGGTAATGCATAATTGCCACATCTTCTCCTTTTCACAGAAATATAGCTTTATGTATTTTTGTTTGTAAAAGTAGCACATGTTTATTGTGAAAAACAAATGTATGTGTTGCATACTGGAGTGAGGACGAAACTGAAAATTACCCACACTTCCAACACTGAGACAAATCATTATGTGTGTATATGAGACATGTATTACCACTGACACTGACTTTTTACCTCTGCCACAACAAAATAGCGTCATACTGTGACATGCTTTTCTTCCCCACTTATATGTCAGATCACCAGGTCTTTTTTTTTTTTTTTTTTTTTTGAGACAGAGTCTCACTTTGTCAGCCAGGCTGGAGTGTAGAGGCGCGACCTTGGCTCACTGCAACCTCCGCCTCCTGGGTTCCAGCGATTCTCCTGCCTCAGCCTCCCAAGTAGCTGGGAATACAGGCGCGTACCACCACGCCCAGCTAATTTTTGTAATTTTTAGTAGAGACGAGGTTTTGCCATGTTGGCCAGGCTGGTTTTGAACTCCTGACCTCGGGTAATCCACCCACCTCGGCCTCCCAACGTGCTGGGATTATAGGCATGAACCACCGCTCTTGGCTTCAGGTCACTAGGTCTTAATAGCTGTAGCAATGACAGAAAAGCTGTGGACTCTGTAGTAGTCTAGCTGAAACACCACATCTTTCTCACTCACTCACAAGGTTGTCCCTTAGGAGGCAAAACTGGGATGGCAGCCCTAGAATTATGCTTGGAGGGGAGGGGGACACAAGGCATTGCATTTTACTGCTCTGTTCTGAACATCATTACATTTTTGCTTTTGCTAACATCCCAAGGGGTCTATGAAACACACCAACAGATTATCTTGGGCGCCTTGCACTGGTTGATCAGTCCAAGCTCACTCCCTTCTAAGAAACAGCTCCACCCGCTCAAGCGCAAGAGAAGGGCGTTTTCACAACATAAGAATCACCTCCAACCCATTGGAAGTAACATATAAGTATATTTAACATATGTATATATACATGTAAGTAATTTGAAAACTTTTATAATTTAAGTATCTGTAATAAATTAAGACAAATTATTCACAAAGAAGTAATAGCACAAATTAAAAAGGGAACACACTCTAGATAAAGTACAGATTAACAAGCAAATAGGAATTTTATCAACAACAATTTGAAAGGTTTGATAAATACTCAGTTTCCTAGGAAAATAACAAAATGTACTCAAGAAGAAATTTTTTTAAATCTGAGAATTCAACAATTACAAAAATGCAAGCAGTATTGTTAAATAATCCCACATTAAATACTAGGCCCAAATGATTTTACAGGCAAGTTCCCACAAATCTTAAAAGGAAGTGATCATCCCAGTCTCATAAAAAACTTTTCTTGAGAATAGAAAAAAAGGGAAATACTCTCCAACTCATTTTATATGGACTCTGTAACCCCAATACCAAAACCAGACTATGACAAGAAGAAAAGGAAAAATTACAGGGCTGTTTCATTTATGACTATAGAAGCAAAAATCATAAATAGAAGATTGTATTAGTAAATTAAATTCTACAGTGTATAAAAAAGATAATACACTGACAAAGTTTGGTTTAACTCAAGAAGGCAAAGTTGATTTAATGTTAGAAAATCTACAAATGTAATTCACCATACTACCATATTAAAAGAGAAAAACCATATGTAATTTTAATAGGTATAGATAAGGCATTTGAAAAAAATCATCATTAGTTCATTATTAAAGAAAAAAATCTTTTAGTCAATTAGGAATAGAAGAGAATAACCTTAAAATGATAAAAAGCACATATAGGCCAGTTGCAGCAACTCATTCCTATAATACCAGCACTTTAAGAAGCCAAGGTGGGAGGATCACATGAGGCCAGGAGTTCGAGACCAGCCTGGACAATATAGCAAGCCCCTGTCTCTAAGATAAAATAATAATTTAAAAATGATAACTAAATAAATAAAAAGCACATTTAAAAAATTAAGCAAATGTGGAAACATTAGAAGCTTACACTTCAAAATCTGGAATGAGGTGAGGATGTGCATGATCACCACTCCTTTCTATCCTTAGATGTTCTTGCCAGTATATTAACTTAAGTAAAACAAATCAGTTGCAGAAGGATTGGGAAGGAAACATAAAATTATCACTATTTGCTTGTGATATGATCATTTACATATAAAACCCAAAATAATCTAGAAATACTTCAATCTAATAAGATAAGTTAATAAGGTAGCTCAATAAAAGATTAATATAAAACAATAAATTGCAATTTCATACACCAGCAACAAAAATAATTAAAAAGAAGATAATATTTGCCATAGTCTTAGAGGACATAAATTACCTAGGAATAAATCTAACAATGAATTAAATGAATTTATCACTTAACAATAATGAATGAATTAAAACCATTACAGGGAAAATTATAAACTTTAATGAAGACTCAAACAATGGAGATATATACCAAGTTCTCTGAAGGAAAGATTCCGTTCTCCCCAGGTTGATCTATGGAGGAATTTTGATCAAAATCCAAAAGGCTGTTTTGGAAGGAAATCTGATAAGCATTTATAAAATTGTATATTATTATTATTATTTGGAAGAACAAAGAGCCAAGAATAGTCAGGGCATTTCTGAAGACAATTTGGGAGAGGAAAACTTGCCCTACAGATGTCTGAACTTATTTAATGCTACAGTAAATAAGGCAATGGCGAAGGCACTTGGGGTGTCCATACTGACCAATGCTAGAGAGCCTAGAGCCAGACCCACATACGTATGAAATGTGGAACACGACAGAAATGGCATGTCAGGTCAGAAGGGAAAGAAGAGACTACTCAGTAAATGCAACTAGGAAAATGGTTAGCTGTATGAAAAATACATAAAACTGGTTTTCTGCTAGTTATTTATTTTGTCTCCCTCAGCCCCAACCTACTCCTCTGTACTTTTCTCTATAATACTGGCTACAATGTGTGTTTGCTCTGTTACATGAGAATATTCAGTTTCATACAGAGGACAAGAAAAGCAGGTGGGTGAAACTCATCAGATGTATTAACTATAGATACAAAGTAAGCAAGTCATTTGTGAGACATAGGCAGAATTCAGAAGATGTGCTAAAAATGCAGGATGGAGTATCCCTTATCCGGGATACTTTTTGGATTTTGGAATACTTGCATTACACTTATATGTTGAGCACCCCATTCCAGAAATCTGAAATCCAAAATGCCTCAATGAGCATTTCCTTTGAGTGCCATGTCAGTACTCGAAAAGTTTCAGAATTTGGAGCATTTCAAATTTCAGACTTGGGATTCTCAATCTATAGTAAGTTAGTAACCTGCAAGACATGTAAAACAGAATAAATGGAATAGACTACAAAAGGATGGAACAAACAAGAGTGCTACTTACAGGCAGAAAAGGATAGGAAAAAACAAATCATAAGCCATGAGGTATAGATTATGCCACCTTCTGGCTGGTGTCCATGTCATCCCTAAATTGACTACCTACTGGTGGCACCTTCTGGCCCCCCATAAGCTCTACCCAAGAAATACTGGCAAAAAGTATGGCTTCCCAGAACACTGACAAAGACCTGTGGCCAAGCCTACCTACCCTTAAACATCTCTCAATAGAATGAGTATACCTTGGTTCTAAGCATCTTCCTCATATTGATCCCCTTACTCAATCTCAGTTCTGGTCCTCATAACTATACCACTGCAGAGCGAAACACATGACTGAGGCTGTGAGACTGTGCAGGACTTTTGCCCTGCTTGCATTCCCAAGTGTATCAACCTTGTGTAAATCTGTCCCCTTGGTTCTGGCTCTATGCTTTAAATAGATTCCATAACCCTTGTGATTTGATCATCATAATTTGGTCTGAGTCTTCCTGATCTGTGGCCTCTGGAATAGCCTGCCTATCATGGAGGCAAACATTGCATCATGGTGACTTACCACAGGACACTGGTTCCCAGACTCCCTTGTCAGCTGATTTCTTGTTAGGTTCTGCCAAGAGGAGGCACTGGAGGGAGACTAGAAGGTGGAAAGAGGAAAAAAGGGACTTGCAGGTTGTCACTGCATCAGTCCAGCATCTGAACACTTCTACCGCTAAGGATCCCTGCCAAACTGAAAAAAAAAAAAAAAAAAAAGTTTGCAATGTGGGAAAAAAGTCTTGGTTCCAAAATATAAAATTGGAAAATCAAAATTCACAAATTTTTCATTAAATGCCTACAAAAATGTCAACTCAACTTGTAAACTGCAATTCAACTCTTTCATAGTTTCATGTAAATATAATAAAGTTTGAATTATAAGAACAAAATGAATATATTTTAAAATTCAGAATTATAACAACCATTTTCCTTACTTTTTTAACATCAGACATATTTGACATAGGATGAGGTCCTCTTTTAGGTTGATTGACATGATGCGTGTGTATTTTGGGGAGGGGTGAGGTAAGGGATGTTTAATAGTAAAAGTGGTTGTGACCTCCAAGGGTCTGTAAAGGGCCTGAGACAGCCTCTGACTCAGTGTATTTCTGTTGTATCCTCCATTTTGTGCGGTGTAGCTAACATCTTCTAGCAACAGCTTATGAAGCAGGAGAGCAGAGAATTGAGGAGCAGCCCAGAAAGGCTAGAACTTTGAAGAGACTACATAGCTCAACTCTACCTGGCCTGTGAGGAAATGTAAGGCTGGGGTCCCTGGGTACCCTTGTGTCCAGTGGCCAGAACGTGTGTTTGGGGGTGGCTTGGGCAAGGGTGTGTGTGCTTGGGGTGATGAGTCTCAGTGACCCTGGAAAATATGAAGAGTGGCCAATCACTGTCTAGCTTTGTAGTTCTGGGGCTATCCATAACCTTTGCAAGCCAGAGAAGAAACAGCTCTGGTCTCTCAGAGGAAGGGATTTGCCAGCCTCCCATATCCCCTACTTCTATTTTTCCTCCCTGAAGCCTGACATCCACTTCGCCCTTGCTCCTTGTACCCAGCAAGTGTTCTTTCTATACCAGGGCTTCTTGAACCTCAGTGTGCATGAGTCATGGAGAATACTTACTCAAAGTACAGATTCTGGCCCTCACCCTTGATTCTGTGTAGACCATGCTTTGAGAAAACTCTGCTCCACAGAATCATTCTCTCTCTCTTTGCTCCCAAAGCTAGTTAAGAAGTTCAGGTACTAAAGAAAGACAAGTTATTTCCCCTGTTTCCCGTGGTCCAGCTATGGGAGACAAATGGTATTTAAAGTAACCAGAAAAAAAAAATCTGGAAATGGAAGTTAAAGTGGACCAAATTAGCTTTCATATCTAGCAGGGATTACAACCCCACATTTGTTCTCAACTGCACACTGGATGCCTGAAGCAGACCGAGCGGTCCCTGGAGCTGAGGAAGTTGAGGGGAGTGGGGGGCCTGGCAGTGTTGGAACTAACTCCTTTTCCCTGTTAATTGGGAGTCCCAAGGACCAATGACTGATTTTAAAATGCATGTTTGCCACTCCTTCTGTCCCCAGGCCCTTGCCATCACTATGTGATCAGTTCTGAATCATCATTTGTACTTTGAAACAGATTCATACCATTCCGTTGTATTCAATCAAATTAGCATATCAGGCCTTTGCTCTTATTGTGTGATGAAAGACTTTGTTCCCTGTTTAAAGGAATGCTAGGCAACAAGACCAGAATAAGGAGATTTTGGGTTTGTTTTTAGACCTGGATCCTTCTCCTGTGCAACCCCAACGCATAGTAGGTTTGAGATGGACTATAAAGGTAAAGCTACTTTTATAATGCTAGAGTGTCTGCGGAGAAATCAGAAAGGACCACAGAGTGCTGGTCTGGCTTCTCTTTTTTCCCTTTAGGCTATGTGGTACAGACATCATGGAAGAGCCTGAACTGAGTATTTATAATTTCATGATTCTGCTCTGGATATCAGAGCAGCCTCTCCCAGGTTATACCTTATCTGATCCTCCCCTGGTGCCATCATCTGCCCAGGCTGGCTTCTCCTTTCTCCCGTCTCTACGTCCCCAAGACTAGGCTGCCTACCCGGCTCAGAGTTTCTTCTATTCAGTACAACCAACACCCAGAGGAACTGGTGAGGAACAGGAAGCTCAAGGATCTATCAAGTGGTGGAGGATGGAGTCACAGAAAGTCCTTTTTCTGATGGGAGAGCAAGGTGAAATCCCTAGTGGCTTAGACCCAGGGCTGGAGAGGGGATAACTGGTGAGAAGGCATCCAGGGAAGTCCTTTTTCTTTAGGATGATGGTGATGGGGAACTAAATGGGGAAATATGGAAGGTCACAGGAAAAGTTAACACAAGTTAGCAAAAAGTTAACATAACACAAAAAGGTCTTGCAGGAAAAAAAAAAGAAAAGAAAAGAAAGAAAAAGTCTCCAAGAATGGTTTGGACAGCCAAAATGAATACTTATAGTCACGTATACCTGCTCACTCCTGACGCTTCACTCACACACAGCACAGGATCTGGTGAGGCTATCACTAAATGTGCCACATTGTGGTTAAGTTTTACCTGATTAACGAAATGCTCACACTTCTAAACTGAGGTCCTTACAGTAGATTCCTTTTGCAAGATTGTTACTGGCTTACAACTTAAAAATAAAGGAAAATCACAAGGAAAGAAAAGTGGGGAAAAAATCGGAGGAAACTTGCCCCTGCCCTGGCCACCGGCAAGGCTGCCACAAAGGGGTTAAAAGTTAAGTGGAAGTGGAGCTTGAAGAAGTGGGATGGGGCCTCTCCAGAAAGCTGAACGAGGCATCTGGAGCCCGAACAAACCTCCACCTTTTTTGGCCTCGACGGCGGCAACCCAGCCTCCCTCCTAACGCCCTCCGCCTTTGGGACCAACCAGGGGAGCTCAAGTTAGTAGCAGCCAAGGAGAGGCGCTGCCTTGCCAAGACTAAAAAGGGAGGGGAGAAGAGAGGAAAAAAGCAAGAATCCCCCACCCCTCTCCCGGGCGGAGGGGGCGGGAAGAGCGCGTCCTGGCCAAGCCGAGTAGTGTCTTCCACTCGGTGCGTCTCTCTAGGAGCCGCGCGGGAAGGATGCTGGTCCGCAGGGGCGCGCGCGCAGGGCCCAGGATGCCGCGGGGCTGGACCGCGCTTTGCTTGCTGAGTTTGCTGCGTGAGTACCGCCCGCGCGCCGCGGCCGCTTGGCTTCGCCGCGGGGAGGGTGGAGGCTTTCTGGGAGGCTGAACAGCAGAGCAGAGTCTCACGGAGGGAAGGGACCCCTGCCCAACCCACGCACTGCCGCCCACAGCTGCTTCCCCCCGGGGCCAGCGCCTCACCTGGGAGCTGACGGGGGTGGGAGGGGAAGGGAAGGCCATCACCCCCGCGAGTGTGCGTTAGCCGAGGTGTGAATCGGTCAGCACGACTGGTTCCAATGGACTGAGATAAAGCGCTTTGGAGATGCCAGGGTCTCTTCTGGTTGCCAGAGGCGCGGAGTGCGAAGTTGCAGCCAGAACCGGGAGACTGGGGAGGAGAGAAGCAGGAAAAGTTTTGTGGCTCTTGGTTGATTCAGAAAGTATAGACACGGAGCGGATTGCTGGGAAGGGGCCGGTGTGCCCACCTTGCACAGGGACTGGGAGAGCCAGAAGTGGACATTAAGGAATTCGAGGGAAGCGAATCAGGGATGAGGCTCCAGGTCCCAGGCCAGGGGTGTTCGGAATGAACAGTCCGTGAAAAGGAAAAACAAAACCAAACAACCAACCAAACAAAAACCTTGCATTTAAGATTGGGAAGCTGAGTTTGAATTCCCACTTCAGCAACCCCACCGCGGAGGAGGTAGAAGTAGACAGAATTTGCTCTGCGCCCAGCCTCGCTCGCCTTACCAAAAACCGTCACCCCTGCACAAATTTCAAAACTTGTCACCTTTTGGAGTTTTCTTCCTCTGCCCCTGCTCCAAGTTCTAAAGCTAGTGGATGGGTTAGAACACTGCCCCCACTCACCTACACATATCCTTACTCTTAAGGTCTTGCTCTCACTTCGGTTAAAAAAAAAATAGGCACCCGGTAAATATTTATACTCGATTACTTTCCTTGGGGAATGACATTCTCCACCTCATCTCTTTGCACTTGGAAGGTTTGAAACTTTTGAAACTTTGTACATTGCTCTCCCTTTTGCTTACAGCACTCTAGGGCTCCCAATTCTGTACTCTCACTACATCCTAAGGGCCACCCACTGTGGCCCTGCAGAGTGACCTGGACTAGACCTCTTTGTTCCCAGTCTCCTCTGTTGTCCATCTTTGGGTCCGCCCAGCTGGGGACAGCTGCCCCTGGGCTGGAGGAAGCTCTGAGAGAAGTTTTGGGTTGCCCTGTTTGGCAGTCCTGGATGTGTGCTTTGGGGCAAGGAAAAGCTATCAATGAGGTTTCAAAATTCTAGAGTGGGTGCTAGACTAGGCCCTCATAACAGGAGTGAGTCGGCCGGGCGCAGTGGCTCACGCTTGCAATCCCAGCACTTTGGGAGGCCGAGGCAGGCAGATCATGAGGTCAAGAGATCGAGACCATCCTGGCCAACATGGTGAAACCCCATCTCTACTAAAATTACAAAAATTAGCTGGGCATGGTGGCACACCCCTATAGTCCCAGCTACTCGGGAGGCTGAGGCAGGAGAATCCCTTGAACCCAGGAGGCGGAGGTTGCAGCGAGCCAAGATCCTGGCACTGCACTCCAGCCTGGGAGACAGAGCGAGACTCCTTCTCAAAACAAACAAACAAACAAAAAACAAAAAACAAAAAAACAGGGGTGAGTTGGCCAGTGGTGCAGATTCCAATCAGATGCTCCATTCTCCTTTGGCTACACAGCTTGTGATGACCTGGTCCTCAGCCGAATGAGGTCCACCCTTTTCTTATTTCCTCAGCTGGTAAGTGCCAGTCTCGCCTTGGCCTGCCGAGGTTGGGGTTGGGGGAGCAACACAACCTTGGCAAAACTTTGGACTGATATGCTGAGAATATCCCAGCTTTTGGTGGGGAGGGATGAGGCACAAGGCCCCATTCCCAGCCTTGCCAGACTACTTGAGCCAATTGTAGTTTTATGCCCTTCCCAAGAGCTTTCTAGGGTTTTTGCTTGGATTTGTTTTGTTTTGTTAATACTAGGAGTCATTTTCAGTCCTGGGATACATTGTGGGATAAATGAGATAACTGAGTGTACCTTGAAATGCTACCATAGGGCCATTGCAGAAATGCTATTATTATTGTAAAATTTAGGGTAGAGGGGATTTCTGTGGTTTGTTTTCTCATCATTTACCCCAACAAAGAGCTTGTTTTGGGAAGTTCTTTTTTTCTGTCCCTTTGAGAAGGTGGCATGTGCATAGGCACTGCAACTAACCAGAAGTGGGCTGTCTTTGTTGGAAGTGGGGGAGATCACAGAGCAGAGTCAGGGTAAGGGGCTCAAGGGCCACCAGGCAGCACTGCCAGAGTGCTGGCTGGAGCAGGAAGCCTTTCAGGTAATTAGGGAACCCCTTTGTCAGGCTCAGGGTATCTATTTCCTCCAAGCTTTCCAAGGCCTGTCCCTATCCTCACTCTAACAACACCCCCAGGCCCTCCCCGTCACATTCCTCTTCTTCCTTTGGGTCCTTCGTGCCTGCTGACCCCACACCCATATCCTGTCCAGGGCTACATGTAAGAGGGGAAAAATAAAAGGGAAAAGAATTTTATCAGCTATTTTCCAGAGGGGAGAGGACTCCACCCTTTGAATCTCTGCCATATGGCGACAGAGGAGGAGCAGGCTTGGGGACCTCTGACTAATTCAGTGGTCCCCAGTGCTCCGCACTTGTAGACCCAACCCAGTTGGCACCACCTTTGCAGATGCATGTCTTCAGCAGCATTTCTGTTCGGCTGATAAAACACACAGGGGCCTGGGGCCTCTTTTTCTTATCCCTTTGGCTCCACCTCCTGGGCCTCCTCATTCCCTTGTCCTCATCTCCTTCCTTCGCAATCTTTGTCTCAAAAAGCTTAGGGCAAGAAGTGCCAAACTGCAGCAGATAAACTCAGCTGCAGAGTCCTACGAAAACAAATGAAAATGAGGAACAAATTCCACTTCTTACCGTTGGTCTCATTGCCTGATTTCCTTTAGACCCTGAGCTGGAGGGCCTGGGTTTACTTTCAGGGCTGGATGGTTACCCAACTCCACTCTCAGGTACTTGGGCCTCCCTCTCTCATTGACTTTGGTTGATCTAACTAAATGGCTTGCAGTGTGGAGAATTAAAAATAAGAAGGTATGGAAAAAGAACACAACACCACCCTCCAGAAGAAAATTCTCACAGTCGCCAGGGCTGTGAGAATTCCATATTTTTGTGGGCTTGGACTTCTCTAATGAGAACATTCTCTTCCCTCCTTAGCTAATAAATGAAAACATATTATCTATGACTTTTAGTCCCAGAGCTGGACGTTGTGCTAAGGAGAAAGATGCGTGCATGTTGGAAAGATGGAGAGACAAACAAATAGGGATGCATATAAAGGTGTACTTCTTAGTACCTGTGCTCTTGGAGTCCGTCGGAATGAGTTACTTCCCTTCAGATGCAACGGAAAAGGCCTTTGGGCTTAATTGGGAAGTAGGCTTCTTCTTTATTTGGAAAAATGAAATCAAACTGATACTTCTTAGAGAGGAGTGGCATCCCTAGGCAGCTGATTTAAGAAAATGTCTTAAGAGGTCTTTGAGTGACAAAGCCTAGAACCCCAGACAATCCTGGATGAGCAAAGGTAGGCAGGAGGCTGAATTGCTGAGCATGATAAAATGAAGTGAAGCCTTGTGTTTAGGTGGGCACAAGAGACACAAGGCTGATAGGACTCCAGAGCCCAGGAAGAGCATATAAAGGGTGGAGAGGTGCCTGGAGTCATAGCAGGACAGTGGTGGGTGGAGGATGGAAAAGACCTGGGAGGAAATTTTTTTTTAATACATGGCTTCATTAGCACAGTAATGTCTAATATTTCAGGGTTATGCCATTGTCTCCCCTGGGCTGCCCTGTAATCTCGTTCCATGCCCTCAACCTTTCAGTAAATACTGGCTACACACACTAGCCTTGTGTTAGTGGCTCTCTGGGGAGGGTAAAGTAACTTACTTTACCTTGGCTAACTTACGGTGAAGTGGTATACTAGTGCGGACAGGGAGCCATTGAGCCATGGAGCCACAACCCAGGAGTCTGTGGTGCTGGTAAAATGGAGGAAGAGGTGACAGGGAGAAATGTAGGTGCCCAGAGAATCTTCAAAATAATTAGGGTTCCACAGTAAGTGGATGGGGTCCAAGACATGCTATTTTATTTATTTATTTATTTATTTATTTATTTGAGAAGAAGTTTCTCTCTTGTTGCTCAGGCTGGAGTACAATGGTGTGATCTCGGATCACCGCAACCTCTGCCTCCCAGGTTCAAGCAGTTCTCCTTCCTCAGCCTCCTAAGTAGCTGGGATTACAGGCATGCGCCACCATGCCCAGCTAATTTTGTATTTTTAGTAGAGACGGGTTTTCTCTATATTGGTCAGGCTGGTCTCGAACTCCTGACTTCAGATGATCCACCCACATCGGCCTCCCAAAATGTTGGGATTACAGGCGTGAGCCATGGTGTCTGGCCAAGACATGCTATTTGAATATAAAACAGAAATCTCGGTACACTGGGAACCCTCAGGCCACAGACCCTTGGTTTATATATACTCACACCTTAGCTTAGCCTTTGAAGCTTAAGAAGGCATCTGCTCAGTCCCTTGTTCTAGTCTAGGATGACTGAAATTCATGGTAGGCCTCAGAGTTGGACAGCCCCCTAACACGGATGCCTCCTGAGTGTTTGCAGGAAGCATGGATGGATCACTTGTCTCCCAAAGTGGCTCATTTCATTCTTATAAATAGCTACATCATTTTACACTTTTTCCTTGGATTGCAGTGAAATTGGCCTTCCCATAACTTCTAATCATTAGTTCTAATTCTATTCTTTGGGCTGGTACAGATTTAATCTGGTCCTTCATGACAATACCTGAAGATGTTTCTAGTGGGCCCCACTAGATTACAAACTCCTTGAGGGATTGATTTAAATGACAATGACACTAACACCTAATGGAGGAAAGAGATCCAGCTCTCATTTTGTACTCTCCACAGCACTGAGCGAGATCCTTTGCACATCACTGGCACTGCAGAAAAATGAGAATGAATACACAGAATGAATGTATCCCTTATCCAAAATGCTTAGGACCAGAAGTGTTTCAAATTTCAGATTTTTTCAGATTTTGGAATATCTGTGTAAACATAATGAGATGTCTCAGCAATAGGACCCAAGTCTAAGCATGAATTTGTGTTTCCTGTATACCTTATATACATAGCCTGAAGATAATTTTAGACAATATTTTTAATAAACTTGTGGATGAAACAAAGTGTTGACTGTGTTTTGACTGTGACCTGTCACATGAGGTCAGGTGTGGAATCTTCCACTTGCGGCATCATGTTGGCACTCAAAAAGTTTCGTATTTTGGAGTATTTTAGAATTTCTGATTTTCAGATTAGGGGTGCTCAACCAGTGTAAATAACATGCATCTTAAAGAAAGTTATTTATTTTTCCTCCCCAAATTCTTCTTTTCCATATCAGGGGTCAGCAAACTTTTTCTATAAAGGGCCAGAGAGTAAATATTGTAGGCTTTAGGGGCCATATATGGTTTCTGATGGATGGTCTACTTTGTCTTATCTTACGACACTTTTAGAAATGTAAAAGCCGGCCACGCACGGTGGCTCATGCCTGCAATCCCAGCACTTCGGGAGGCCGAGGCAGGCAGATCACCTGAGGTCAGGAGTTTGAGACCAGCTTGGCCAATATGGCTAAACCCCGTCTCTACTAAAAATACAAAAATTAGCCGGGCATGGTGGCACATGCCTGTAGTCTCAGCTACTTGGGAGGCTGAGGCAGGAGAATGTCTTGAACCTGGGAGGCAGTGGTTGCAGCCAGCCAAGATCGTGCCACTGCACTCCAGCCTGGGCAACAGAGTGAGACTGTCTCAAGAAAAAAAGAAAGAAAGGAATGTAAAAGCCATTCTTTACTGACTGACCATACAAACACAACCCCTGAGTCAGGTTAGGTTCACTGGCCATAGTTTGCCAACCCCCCATCTAGATGAAATAACACTAGACCCTCAACAATATGACTTGGTTTCTAGAACTCTCCTAATCCTGGTTATCTTCACATGAACACTCCCCAATTTAATTAATTCCCCCTTAAAATATAACATGAGAACAAGACTGCCATGACTAGAGGTAGCTGGCAGGAACACACCTGCCACAGTTGTCCTCCAATCCTATTGCTTTTCCTAAACTCCAAGGATTGTGCTAAGCACCAGGAGTAAAACACATAAGAATAAGAATGGCTCCAGCACTTTAGAAGTTTATATTCTTACTGAGGTGACAGTTAGACCTATCCTGAGGAAGCAGCATATATGATTTTGTGGCAGATGAGTCACAGAAATAAGTATCTCATGCCCACTGAGAAGCAGAAGGAAGGGGCCTAAAACAAAAGATATCCACTATTTCTTGAACTTTTACCAGACAGGATAACTGCTTCTACTTCTTAGCTCCTTTGTTCCTCAAAACAGCTAAGACATAGGGACTACTTTTATCTCTGTTTTACAGGTGAGGTTTACAGAGTTGAAGTAACTTCCCAAACCACAGCTAAAACATGGTAAAGAAGCCTTTGAATGTGGCCTGTCTGGCTGCAGAGCCTGAGCTCTTTGTCTCTGGGCTATACCGCCTTCCTGGTGATACAGTCTGTGGCTCCCAACGGCCTACTTCCTGGCAGAGGCTGGCATGTCCCTTCATCCTAGTTCTGTAACTCTATGGACTAAGATTCCCAGGAACTCCTTCGAGATACTCCTCTTGATCCAGGTGCTAGAATATGAAAGCATGGGCAAAATAAGACTGGCAGGCTAGGAGATCAGGAAACAGCACCAGGAAAAAACTAAGGAGGGCTGTGAAAAGCAAGACCAAGTATAGGAAAACTCAGTCTCTTAAAATATGGGGATTTAGTTATTTTGGTAGCAGAGCTTTCTGGATCGCTGAGGATTTGCAAACTCACTTTAAAGAACAAAAGAGTCTTCAATTTACTAGTGGCAGGTAGAAATATTTTCAAAATGTATTGCACATGTCTTTGCTTTCTTAGAATACCCCCCCGAAAAGGACTTTATGACTCAGATGTATCATGAACATGTCGTGGCTATGTTGCAACTCAGTGACATCATTAATGCTTATTAAGGTATAGATATCTAACCTATTCACTCCTACCATAAATGATTCAAGAAAACTGGTGTGAGTTTTCATACTTATGTCTGCTTTTCATTTATTTCTGTTTCTTAGTTTTCAGCTGTTGCTTCTCCTTATTATTTGCTTCTAATAGGCTCTTCCTACGTTTCAACTTTAGCTAGGATATCAGATAACCAGGGTTATTAGAATTATGTGTAAAACAAGAATAATTGACTCTGAAGAAGTACCTGAAAGTTCAGTGCATGACTTTTACTACATGAATTTTGTGACATCTCTTAGAATCCTCATTTTACTAATTTCTTGAGACCTTGTCTCCTCCCTTGCTCCCAGTTCATAAGTTGAGATCAACTAGAGTAACTAAGGGTCAAATGGAGTCCCTAGGGAAACACAGTTAATAAGGATGGACTGAGAAGTAAACAACAGAAGAGAGCTTTTTATTCAACTTTAAATTGTACTATAATTCTTGTAGCCTTGTGGGTAGGGACCGTTCCTCCCATCTAGAATGAAAAAGAGTGGAGGTTTCATCAATTGTCTCTTAGGATGTGACAAGCTCTCACTGACTGGTAGGCTCCTGCTACTCCCCTACAGAGTTGGGAGTCAGAAGGTCAGATAAAGAAAGGTCAGTGTTTGATGGTTTAATGCCATGGATGTGTGTGGGAAGACAGGATAAAAAGAGATCTGTGGTCAGTCTTGACTCTCATAAATGTCATTCCTCCAGGGCTCTAGAGACTGTGAACCTAAAAGATGCACTCTCCCTGCTGTGCCGCAGTGTTTATGCCAGGATTGGCTCCAGGCCCCTGGCTAAGGTGTCCCCTTGCTCTGCACCAGCTCAGGCATTTCCAGTCACTCAGTTTGGTCTTTCTGCCCTCCCACTTGTCCTGTCCCCCTGGTGTCTCAGAGGGTGCTCTGCTCACCCTGGGGTCAGAGCCCTGACTCTGAAGTTGGGGTCCCTTTCTCATTTGCAGGTGGATCCTGCTACTCATTCCACAGCGCTCGGCCTGGTGGTGGGTGGAGGGGCTGCTGCAGCTGCGAGCCTGGCCCCAGTGGGTCAGTAGCTGGCTTGGGTCCAGAGTTGCTTTGCTCTTCTGGAACAGGCACCTCTGTCCTCAGAACTAGCAGCAGGTCTCACTCCACATCTGGAAAAGTTCAAAAGTGTTTGTCTAGGTGAAGGAGGCCCTTCGGGGGAGGGGATTCAAAAGCATGACATCATCTCAGTCAGGCCCAGCTTCCTCTGGAGAGAGAAAAGGGCTGGGCCAGGGTGGACCAGATGGGGTCCCCAGTAATCAGTATGCTGGGGGCGAAGAGGAAGAGAGCAGGCAAGAAGAGGAGTCTTGGAATGGTGTCTTGAGAAGGTGATCCTTTAATTCAGTGTCTGAATACTGCCCCCTTGGATGAATTCAGATGAATCTGACCTTAAAGTCAGAGTGGTGAGAGGGTCCCATCTAAACAGGAAAGAAGCCTGGATTGGCTTCTGCATCAATTTATTTTGATCAACCCACCTCCTGTTTAAGCCAGATGGGAGCCCATCCTTTTCTCTACAGAGATGTGGGGAATAAATTCCGATTTTTTGGCAGTTTAGACCCAGCCTAACCTCCTTGTTGCATCTACTCAAGAGTCAGCTAAACGTCAGTGTTCCATTGCTGCTTCCCTTCATGAACTATGGCCTTCCTTTTGGGCAGCACCTTGGTGATTCAGGCTCTTCATCTCTAAGACAGAGATAGTGATATTCCTTCTCCCCACTGCTTACCTGACACATAACAGTAAGACACGATTGCTGCAGTCACCATTAATAGCAATCTGCTTGCAGCAGGTTGTGGAAGGAAGCAGATATGAGAGAGTGAAACCCTTGTCATCACCTTTAGGGAAACCGTTCTTGGCCCCAGGTTGATGGCCGTGAAGCCAAAAGTCTAACTTCCCTCTTGATCCTGAGGGAAACAAGAGATGTCATTCTACCTTGCTGTTTACCTGGAAATCGCTGAAAAGTACAGATCTAGATCCCAATCAGGAAAATTTAGAGACAAGCTTTAGGGTGGCCTGGGACCCTCAGAGGCTCTTCCTTGAAGATGCAACTGCCTTTATGAACTCTGGATACCAAGTTCACCCTTAACATTTACAAGGCCCAAGGCAAGAGTACAACAGAGGCCTACATACTATATTTCTAAACATTTCAAGGTTGTAAGTCAGGCCAACTAACTAATAAAATATCTTCTATCCTCTTACCTTGACAAACATATCTTCGTGATCACCTGGAAGGCCAAGTTTCAATTTGGGATGCTCAGATTCTTGGAATTCACTGCCACAGTGCAGCTTAGCAGGAAGAGATGGCTCCTGGCCCCAGCCCACTTCCCTTCATCTACTTTCTACCCATGACTCTGGCTCACATTGCAAGGCAATTGCATGTGTGCCTGGGACACCCCACCCACAGGCTTAAGCACTAAGCACTAACTCTTCTCCCTGCAAGCAGTCATCATTTGGCCACCACTGGGCCTTGGGGGTGTACACCCTTGTGCTGCAGTTCCCCTTAGCAGGATGGACTGGGAGAAGCGGCCCATCGTGGATGTGAGCAAAGTGCCATTTGATCAAGAAGTGCTAGGACTTCTGGTCCCCACAGTATGACCTAGAAGAGAGGGTACATCCTGATTGGTCCTCACAGGAAGCAGGACAGGGTGTGGGCTCTTTGAGGCATAGGGTTCAGTCAAGAAGCTTCTCCTTCCTGTGTCTAATGAGGATACTGACTGGGAATGGTGAGTAACATCTGTAATCCCAGAGCTTTGGGAGGCCAAGACAGGAGGATCACTTGAGGCCAGGAGCTTAAGGTTACAGTGAGCTATGATCTCACCACTGCATTCTAGCCTGGGTGCTGTGATGACAGAGCAAGACCCTGTCTTAAAAAAAAAAAAAAAAAAGTATGTATCCCAGGATATACAGAAGAGATGTGCAAAGACACTCATGAAGATCTTCAGAGAAAAATGAGATCCAAAACATTATACTATAATACTATAATAACTTAGCATTTGTTATCTCATTGTTTATCCCAGCAATCCATGTAAGGTAGCCAGAAAAGACCCTTACTTAAGAGGTAAGAGAGCTGA
This sequence comes from Homo sapiens, assembly GCF_000001405.40. NCBI lineage: Eukaryota > Metazoa > Chordata > Mammalia > Primates > Hominidae > Homo > Homo sapiens. The sequence goes on along the minus strand of NC_000001.11, from coordinate 207,900,810 downwards.
GATACATACATGCATTAAATTACATGGTTAGTTATTGGAAGAGCCAGAACAAAGCTTGTCTACCTTCCCACTACATTGATGAGAAACCAGACCTTGTGTTCCCTGGTTCATTAGCTGAATTCCTAGGTCAGAGCATGCTAAAAGAAGAAAAGGAAAGGCGAATGGGTTTGAAGGCCATGAGCAAAAGGATGAGGGGAGTATGGGAATGGGAAGTCTGAGAAGTATAGATTTTTAAGGGGATCGCATAGAGACAGTGAGTCTAGTGATTATTCCAAGAGTTAGTATACTGGATGGAGAGTGACCAAAAAAGAGGATACAGTGAAAAGAAAAAAGAAGCATGACCTTTTGCACACATTAGATCTTTGCAATATTTATGCAGGTGTAATTTTATATTTTAGTATGTAACTAAACATACTATGAACATCACCTCATAGTTCCACGTTGCTACAGTTTTTATAATTTTTTTCTTTCTAATGTTTGTTTATATGATTATATAATGATTATGGTATATTAAGTGCATATATCACTTATCCTATCATAATTCATTTAGTTGTTCACGTTTCCCTCCTATAAATAATACTGTATGAGACATTTGTATGCATATAAATCTTTCCTTCCCTATGTCCTCAGGGCAAATTTGGTAGTGGGAAATTAATCCACTGTCCAGGAGTATGTTCTTGTTGCTGCCAACAAGGGGCAGCAGGGAATGTTCTAGACGAATTCTACCTGAAGTCAGGAAATTGCATCAGGTGATATCACCAGGCTGATATCTTTAGGTTCTGATTCTTCCTCCTCGTTTCCCTATAGCTTCTGGGTTCATGAGTCTTGACAACAACGGTACTGCTACCCCAGAGTTACCTACCCAGGGAACATTTTCAAATGTTTCTACAAATGTATCCTACCAAGAAACTACAACACCTAGTACCCTTGGAAGTACCAGCCTGCACCCTGTGTCTCAACATGGCAATGAGGCCACAACAAACATCACAGGTAAAAACAGCATTTGTGTCAGATCCCGGAGAGATGCTGGTGATGCTTGGGTAAAGCATTTAGGATGTTTTCAGACCGCTCCCCTCTCCACAGAGGAAATTATACAAGTCCCTAGTATTAATGACTTGAGTATCATGCTTAGGGTGCCCTGAAGTAAGTTCTAGATAATTCTTCCTTCAGTGACAGTTTTCTCAGGCCCATGTCTTGGGAGCTGATCCTGATCAGTAATGCCTCCATACCCCTTCTCTCATGCTGAGTCTAGCTTAGTGATAAAATAAGGATCAGAAGACTCAATAGAGATCTCCGATCTCTTCTAAAGGAAAGAAGGTGGGTACAGGTCCAAACTGGGGGTCTTTGGCTTCTCTAAGGTAGACCAGCATCTATTTCAGTTTCAGGACACCTCTAATACATTCTAGATTCTAGCTCTTGTTCCAACAGCTTGAAATGAGTTTGGTCAGGGATGGGACACGAAGTAACTGTTAACTCCCCAAACTCCCTTTTCTGTGTTGAAGTGCATGCCCATATCATGACCTGAGATTTTGTGTATCTATGAGCACATGCACACATGCACACCCATGTTTTGGTCTCTTCCAGAAACGACAGTCAAATTCACATCTACCTCTGTGATAACCTCAGTTTATGGAAACACAAACTCTTCTGTCCAGTCACAGACCTCTGTAATCAGCACAGTGTTCACCACCCCAGCCAACGTTTCAACTCCAGAGACAACCTTGAAGCCTAGCCTGTCACCTGGAAATGTTTCAGACCTTTCAACCACTAGCACTAGCCTTGCAACATCTCCCACTAAACCCTATACATCATCTTCTCCTATCCTAAGTGACATCAAGGTGGGTGAATTGGGCCAAAAATGGCAGATTGCCCCTCACTTCATATGTATGCAGGCAAGCTGTTTCTTTCCCTCCACCCCTCTCCTCATCCCTGCCAGTGGGATTTGGGTCATGTGGGAATCAGCACGGAAATACACAGTTTAAATATTGCTGGGAGAAGTAGAAAGAGGAGGAAAGGGGTAGAGTTAGGTGGTAAGGCCCATCCAGGCTTTGGGTATTGCATTTTAGGGAATAGAGAGTAAACGGGATTCTCAGAGATCCATCCAATCCTCTGGTTCTTTCTAGTACCTATCAGTGGGGCTTTGACCAGGACACCATTTCCCTTTGGGAATATTTGGCAACTATTGCTTATTTGCTGGGGCTGCTTCTCCCACAATGGTTAGGACAAATAACATTTCCTCTACATGAGAGGGTTTGGTGGTTGTGCCAGGCACAGAGAGGCAGTAAAGGGGGGCATTGGCAATGGCAGGAACTGGGCAGACCAGGGATGGTGAGCTCAGCCTGGCCTTCTCAGCCTTAGGGCCTATGACTGTCAACAGCTTTCAGCATGCAGGACAGAAAATATGAGGGCCTCAGTCATGAGATATGCCCGAGGGATCTTTCTGCTTTCTGTTTTTAAAGGAGCCAGGGCCAGGCGTGGTGGCTCATGCCTGTAATCCCAACACTTTGGGAGCCTGAAGTGGGCAGATCACTTGAGGTCAGGAGTTCAAGACCAGCCCGGGCAACATGGTGAAACCCCGTCTCTACCAAAACATACAAAAATTAGCTGGGTGTGGTCATGCACCTGTAGTCCCAGCTACCCAGGAGGCTGAGGCAAGAGAATCACTTGAACCAGGGAGGTGGAGGTTGCAGTGAGCCAAGATCATGCCACTGAACTCTAACCTGGGCAAGACTCGATCTCAAAATAAATAAATAAATAAATAAATAAATAAATAAATAAAAGAGCCAAAATGGGAATTTGGAGAGTCCTGGAGGCCAGGAGAAAAAACAGGTACCCCAGCATCTGCTGGTCCACCCCATTATCCCTGTTTGCCTATATGGCCTTCCTGCAAGTTTGTGATTGACTGGAGAGAAAACAACCCAAATGGGAAAAGATCCTCCCCTCTCCCAGTCCTGCACCATCCAAGCCAGTGTTTACCAAGGTTGCAAATAGCTGCTTGCCAGTAAGCCCAGGCTAGTAACAAAAGTTTTGTCATCTGATGAGGATAGATATGAAATAGACGAGAGTATGACTATTAGAAATCTCTAGTCCCCTGACAAATTTTAAATGTCCTTTTCCTTAAAACCTCCTAAGAGAGCACCTCACAGAAAGCAAACTGGAAAAAGTTGGGAAAGAAATGAGGAGCAAAGATACTGGCTTATTTACTTTGTTTTTGTTATTGTTTTTGTTTTAATACAGGCAGAAATCAAATGTTCAGGCATCAGAGAAGTGAAATTGACTCAGGGCATCTGCCTGGAGCAAAATAAGACCTCCAGCTGTGTAAGTCAACCCCCCACCCAACCTCTTCCTCCCGCCCCTGTCCCTTTCCTCCATCCCTTCTGAACACCCTTAAACCTTCTTGGATTGCACTGGATTTGAGTAGGGGTCCGGGGAGTTTAGCTTGGTCAGCCTGCCTTTAATACTGAGCTTTCTGTTTAGGGAGTAAGAGGCCCCATCTGGTGGGCAAAAAAGACAATAACAATTTTAATTATTAATAAATTTTGTTATTTTTCCATCCTCTATAGTACTTTTTCCCCCTCCTCTATAGTACTTTTTAAATTTTCCCCTCCTCTGTAGTACTTTTAAATCTGAGAGAGTCAGATTTAAGTTGCTTTTTGGTTAAGAAAGTCCTTCTCACTCACCAGATATAAACTAGTCACCTAAAATGTCAGTTCATTTATTATTTCATTTATTATTATTAAATATTTACACGTAACTCTTTAATCCATATAGAATTTATTTTGCTGTAATGTTATATTTTCCATGTAACCGTTTTTCCTAACATTATTTGTTGAATGACTCCCTCTTCTGTTGCATGGGATGTATCCTTTAGCTTATATTAAGTTTTTATATGTCTTAGGGCATACTCTTCAGACATATTTTATTTGTTCAGTTTGTCTGTACTTTTGCCTATTTTAAATTTTCAAAATTATTGTATGTTTTTACTACAGTATTTGTAATATCCAGTCAGGCAGATCTTTTTTTATTACACTGTAAAAAATGTAAATTATTTTTTTCTTTTTGAAAAAAATGCAAAAAAAATGCTTTAAAATTTGAATTGTAATTGCTCTAAAATTTCTTCATTTTTTCTGGTTTTCTTTTGCATCTCTCAGCATCTTGTTTCTTTAGCTTTTTTCTCTAGATTTGATGGATGTCATAGGCCTATTTGTCACATAGATCTCCCACTATATATTCAAATTGATTGTCACTGATAGATTAAAAAGTTAATAGAGTTTTGAACAATTATTTTGGGTTTGGCCAGTTTCTTGAATTTGCCTATTGATTCTAGGAGCTTTTTAGTTGATTCCTTTCAATTTTAAGGTAAGCTATCTTGTTATCTACTACAATATATTGCTTTTCTCCTCCTGTTTAGTAGTTATGCCTCTTGTTTCAGTTTCATGTCTTACTGCATTGGAAAGAATGTACAGGGAATTGTGTTATTTTAAATGATTCTGGCAGACCTTGCTTTGTTTCAGTAAATCTAATTTCCTAACAGTAACATGGCTCTGGAGGAAGGATGAGGTGAAGGAAAGAGTGGTATTTACTTACAGAAGAAAACATTTTCTTACAAGTTGGGGATCCATCTAAGGGAATCACATATGTGATGTGCTGGCATGCATAGACTGGAAAGATCGCAGCCTGTAGAGGGCTTAAATTACTTATTTTTTCCATTCTAACTCGGTAGTTTTACTACGATCATCAGTTGGGTCTCTCTGACTTACAAATTTGTAAAAATTATACCTGAAAGAATTTAACTTAGGACATCTAAAAACAACAGAAATAGTGAAGACATGAGTTTGCATAGTAGAATAACTAAATGCAGTCTGCAAAATAGTTAACTTAAACATGAACATACAATGTACAAGTAACATGCAGCATGTTTCTGATGCTGATTTTCAACTCAACTCATTAGAAAAAAAATTGTCAAGTTCTTTGCTAGTTGTAGCCAAGGAAAATGACGATCTTTCCCCCTGCAACCCCATCGACTTGGTGGAGCATACATTTTGCTGTGTATCACACAGGTATGTGCCAGAATGCTAATTCTTTGTGCCTGGAATTTAGAGTTAACTGCAGAGCCTTTGCCTTTCTGTTGCTCTTCAAAGCTCACATGTAACTTGGGTCACTGTATGAGAAAAGTGCCAGAAACTTACTGCTCTTTTAGAAATAATTCCTCCTAACTCTGCTGTGGTCTTTGCTGTCTGGCCTACTTCGTGCCACAGCTGAGAAGGTCTCTGCATGTTCCTCTAAGATTGAGGTAGTATCTGTGAGTGGGGATGTGAAAAGAGAGCAGCTCCCCTCCAGTTCCTATGCCAAAGAAGACTTCCATCCACACTGCCCCTTCATAAAGCAACTCTGTGGCAGCTCATATGAGTGCTTTTGTTCCCCTGGTCTCTCCACCAGTGTTGATCCCCTTTCTTCCTGAGGGCTCCTCATCCTCAGCCCCCATGCGGCAAAGCCTCCTGCTACTCCCCAAGGTAATTTATCCTCAGCTTGCTATCCTGTTCCAAAATGTTTAGCCACAGCTCCCGATTATGTCCAAGATGACCTTTCCTTGGTCCCTACTCCCTGCTTGTCTGATAAACAATCTGTTCCAAAAGCTGCGAATGCTGCAGAGCCTCCTAATTTTCCTTAGGTTGGATTTGTACTTTCGGTGTCAGAGGGCCTTAAGGTATTGGTTCTAATGTTGGGAGCCTCAGGCCCTACCTAATACCCTGGTGAAGAGCAGGAAGGATTTGGTTTCCCCGAGCATCACATCCTTGATGTATGTTGGTATGCTCCTCATCTAATATATGCCCATAACAGGAATATATGTGCATGAGTCTAGCTATCCAGACACTCATTCTGCACTGACACATAGTGAGTACCAATATGTTAGCTCACCCTATGTGGATTCTGTAGGCGTGTCTTCTGTATGTGCATTCTGTAGACATGTCTATCCCAATCACTCTTTTTTTTTTGCTCCCCAGCCATCATCTCTAGGCAGCCAGGGGAAGGGAAGGTGATACCACTCTCATCTCAAACACCTTTTACCATATCTCAGCACCCTCATTAGTAGGATGTGTCTTCCTGAGTCTAACTGTCATTCTTTTGGCAGCAGTGTCAGCTTAATTTAGTTTTTGTGGTTGTGGTTCCCCAAATAGTTTCCAAAATGTAAGATTACTTTATACTATTATGCTACACCCATTTGTCCAGAGAAACCCACCAAAATATTTTTAATTGTGGTAAAATATACATAACATAAGTCATCACCTTAACCACTTTTAAGGGTACCATTGAGTAGTAGTAAGTACGTTCACATTATTGTACAACCAATCTCTAGAACTGTCTGCATCTTCCATCACTGAAACTGTGTACCCATGAAACAACTCCCTGCTCTCCCCAGACCCTGGCAACTTTCTGTTCCTATGTTCCTATGACTTTGCCTACTCTAGGTACCTCATATGAGTAGAGTCATAGTGTTTGTCTTGTTATGTGACTGGTTGATTTCACTCAGTATAATGTCTTTAAAGTCCAACCATGTTGTAGCACGTGTCAGAATTTCCTTCCTTTTTAAGGATGAATGATATTCCATTGTAAGTGTAAACCTTGTTTTGCTTCTCCATTCATCTGTTGATGGACACTTGGGCTTTTTCCCCTTTAGGCTAATGTGAATAATACTGCTTTTAACATAAGTGTACAAATATCTCCTTGGCAACCTGATTTGAGTCCTTTTGGGGATATATCCAAAAGTGAAATGGCTGGACCACATGGGAATTCTATTTTTGAATTTTTGAGGAACCACCAGACCGTTTTACATTCCCACCAGTAGGGTACAAGGGTTCCAATTTCTTCTCATCCTCATCAACACGTGTTATTTTCTGGGTTTTTAAAATAGCAGCCATCCTAATGGGTATGCGGTGGTATTTCATGGTGGTTTTGATTTGCATTTCCCTGATGATTAGTGATGTTGAGCCTCTTTCATGTGTTTGTTGGCCATTTGTATATCTTCTTTGGGGAAAAGTCTAGTCAAGTCCTTTGTCCGCCAATTTGTATACCTATCTTTAGTACCACATCTGTTTATATGCAGAGTTTGTAATTACTCAGCTAGCTCACTTTACTCTTATTCACATTGACTTCATCTGAGGCAGGCTGCCTCCAGCTTGCACTAAAGGTCAGTTTCCATGCGGAAAACATAAGTTACAGATGAAGGATTTATGAAGATGGTGTGTCTACTGGAAAAAGCCTGCAATCTGGAAACGATCTCACTTCTCATCCTTCGTTAGCTGCCCCCACTTGTTAGGTGACTTGAAACAGGTCCCTTCATTATTCCATTTTCTATGTGAAAATAGCGTTTTCACCTGCATTGTCAAACTCACACCAAAATAGATAAAATTATATTAAAAGGGGTTGGGGGAGATGATTGATCCTAGAATCTCAGCGTTCTAGGATCTTAATATCTTAAATATCTTAAAGGTCATTAGAAAAATACCTGTCCCTCCCTCACCCCCATCTCCGTCCCCATTGCAATGCTTGATGTTAAGAGTCTTTGCAAAGTTTGAGAATGCTACTCTAGAGAGGTTAGATGGGTTTATTGTGTTTGCAGAGAAACATGTGTGAGCTGATGTAGTTAGGAGCTTGTAAATCTGATTCTCATGAACAAAATGGTGAGGCTGTGTCTTCCTCCTGCCCACTCTCCCGTGATGTTTGCCCACAGCCTCTCTTGGGGGAGGATGTTTATTCCAAGTGTCCGGAGAAGCATTGTGCTTTGTTCAGGATCCACCTGCTCCTCTTGGGGCCCAAACACAATTCACTGATGCGGTTGGATTCCAGAGTGGGAGGCTGGCCGCTATTATTCCCTTGAATCTAGTCCAAGAAACTGTGCAAGGGGTGGAGGGACCCTGTGTGGAGGCCAACTGGTTGGGATGTTAAGTTGAACAACAATTCCCTGAGTTCTTTTGTTTGGTGCCACGGTTCATGCAGTCTGGGTTGTAAATGCTATAATGTGCACTCCCCCCAACACACACTTAGGAGTCTTACAATCTAGTCACAGAAAAATGACAATAACAATGCATAGAATATGATCAATATGTAGACTCTAGATGATATGGTATATAAGGTATTACTATTATTAATAATGATAGTAGCAGCTGCTATTTATCTAGTGCCCACTAGATTCTCAACACCACATTGGACACTTTTTTTTTTTTGAGACAGAGTCTTGCTCTGTTGCCCAGGCCGGAGTGCAGAGTGTAGTGTTGTGATCTCAGTTCACTGCAACCTCTGTCTCCTGGGTTCAAGCGATTCTCGTGCCTCAGCCTGCCGAGTAGCTGGGATTACAGATGCCCACCACCATGCCCAGCTAATTTTTGCATTTTTTAGAAGAGACAAAGTTTCACCATTTTGGCCAGGCTGGTCTCGAACCCTTGGCCTCATCTGATTTGTCCATCTCGGCCTCCCAAAGTGCTGGGATTACAGGCATGAGCCACTGCACCCAACTGGACACTTTCATACAATATCTATTTAGTCACCACAACAACCTAGTGTACAGCTGAGGAACATGACACTCAGACTAGTTGCATGACTTGCAAAGAATCCAGTAAAGAGCAGAGTAAGGATTGATGCCCAGTCTGGTTGAAGGTAGGACCAGCTTCATTGAGGAGGTAGAAACTGAGTTGAGTCTTGAAGGATAGTGAATACCAGGGAGAAGGTAGTGTTCTTCATTCTCTTTGAAATGAGGGTTGTGGAATAATGCATGCTGTCCCCATCTTGGGCTTCCTGGAGGTGGGGCCTCAGTTCCAAATGCTCTTCCCCACTGGCTTCCTCTGCTCACCCTCCAGCCATTCTTCAAGGCCTATAGTGACATGTGTCTGCTAACCTTAACCAGACGTGTCCTCACGCTCCTTAGTATGTCCATAGCACTTTGGTTGTACCTTTCTTATGGTGCTTACCATGGCAGTAGCTCTGGCCTCTGGAGTCTCTTCACGCCTCCATTTCTTCATCTACAAAATTAGTAGAATAACTCTACCAATCTCGTAGGTCGTGTGAGGCCTAAATGAGTTAATATATGGAAAGCACTCAGAACTGTGCCTGGATATCATAGGCATCTGTTACTTTATTTTTTATTTCTTTATTTTTGAGCCAGGGTCTCTGTCACCCAGGGTGGAGTACAGTGGACTCAACCTCTCAGGGTGGAGAGACCCTCCCACCTCAGCCCCCCAAGTAGCTGGTACTATAAGTGCATGCCACCACACCCGGTTGAATTTCTAAATTTTTTATAGAGATAGGGTTTCCCTGTGTTGCCCAGGCTGGTCTCGAATTCCTGGGCTGAAGTAATCCTCCCACCTCAGCCTCCCAAAGTGCTAGGATGACAGGCATGAGTCACCGCGCCTGGTTGGCATCCATCATTTTAATTGCCGTACATGCAAACTGAAAGCTTTGACAAGGTGGAATTCATAGATACCTCCCAATCCCCACCCCCCTACACATGACACATGAATACAACACACATACACATGACACTTGCACAGAGGCTTTCACGCAGTGTCCTATATTCAGGGCTTGATACATTGTCAAGGTGTGGCTTCTTGCACTCAGCAGGTGGAGGAAGGTGCCATTTGGTTTGGCTAGTTTACAACCTGCAGGAGCCCTGTCCCTCTGCCTCTCTTGGGAAGCAGACCTATTTCAACTGGAGATACTTCAGAAGCCCAGAGTCATCCAGGCAAGAAACCCCCTCCTCCTCATCCAGACTCTCGGTGCTGGGGAGCGGGGGTGCTCAAGGGGAAGCCATGTAAGGCTCCCCTGAGACAACTGGGTTTAGAGAGGTGGAGACTGTTGATTGGTTCAGTGTGGCATTCAGACTACTTAGTTCAAATGCTGTTCAGAAAAACGGATTTTTCCAGAGTTAGAACGTCTATCCAAGGACTTACTGGGAGACCTGCAGAATTGCTCCTTTTCCTGAGGAATGAAGCAGCAGTGGCCTGAGAACTCATTTCTCTGTAGCCTTGTTTCCTGGGGGTTTTTTGAGGCTCCAGTTTGGGCTCGTGTCTCTGTGACCTGGAGTTTGGCTAACCACACTCTCCTGGCCTTATCCAAGCCCAGTTGTTTTCCCTCAGCTGCTTCAAATTCCAGCTGGGTCCTGAGGCCAATCTTGACCTTGCTTTGTGTAGGAGCAAAGGAGCCTGGGTTTTCCTGCCTTGGGTCACAGCAGTGGGAAAATACCCAGGCTCCATTCCAACTGGGAGGACCCTGTGGCCTTGTTGCAAGCAGCGGCCCTGCCCGCAAACAGGAAGCTTTCTCCTCCACAGAGACCCAGTTCTGATGATGGTCACACACCCCAGCAGTTTTCCCCTAACAGGAAAGTTGTCAGGGCTGTTCAGGCATTTCCTTCTCTGCCATCTGCCATCCGGACTGAAGAGAAAGTCTTAGTTTCAATTCCTTTCCTGTTCAGGGGAGGAGGACACTCTGATTGGAGGCTGCTGGAATAAATTCTGACTCACTATTGAAGAATTATCAGAGTTTTTCTTCTGAGTCCAAATTCCTGGGTCTGATGGCCCAGTCAGCAACCTGAAGAAAAATCTATGAACTTCATTAAAACTGGGTTCCATGCTTTTAATGGAAAACAGAGATGGAAGACGAGACAAAAATGCCATTTCAGTTTGAGCAATGCACTTTTTGAGACTCCTTTGGGTAGAAAGAGGGAGGAGGCCACTGAGGTTTCCACTGAGTGTATATTATAGATTTGTTCTCTCCTCCTCACCTCCCTTGGCTTTTCTTCCATCATTGGGGACTGCTGTAATCTTGAAACAGAATATTTTCTCTTAGTTATTATTGCATTATTAATATTTTCTGTTTTTGGCCATTTCTTTTGAGTTTAATTTGCATATGTGTACATGGGCAATGCTTCAACGAGACAATTTTTTTAAGTTTGTTCTCTAACATCTTAGATACTAGAAGATATGGATTTTGGTCCTGGGAGATTATTTAGGTTTTTTTCTTATTGTGTTGTTGCACATATACAGTTAGCAGTTTTTTTTTTTTCTGTTGGAATTTTAGAAACAAGGATCCTTCTTGCGGACGGGGTAAGAGTATGACTGTAATCAGAGACTCTGGGTGCAGTTTAGGGCAGAGCAGTAATTTCATCTCTTGCTCTCCATGTTTCTCTGTCTTCCCAGGCGGAGTTTAAGAAGGACAGGGGAGAGGGCCTGGCCCGAGTGCTGTGTGGGGAGGAGCAGGCTGATGCTGATGCTGGGGCCCAGGTATGCTCCCTGCTCCTTGCCCAGTCTGAGGTGAGGCCTCAGTGTCTACTGCTGGTCTTGGCCAACAGAACAGGTAAGGTGCACCTCTGCCTGGGGGAACAGGGAAGGAGTAGGGCTGAGGTTAGAGAATCCTGGGTGGAGATGGGGCATCTTAGATCCAGAGAGACCACAGGTGCTGGGGAGAAGGACTTGGCTGGCTTTGGGAGCGGTCCCCCCGAGATGGACCACCCTGGCCATCAGAGCATCTTCTAGAACAGCATGGGAGGGTGGAGCAGGATAAGCTGGTTTCTCTTTAGATTTAGCAACCCTTGTTTCTAATTCTAGAAATTTCCAGCAAACTCCAACTTATGAAAAAGCACCAATCTGACCTGAAAAAGGTAAGTCCTCTGAGATGATGGGCCTGAGAGGGAATGCCGGGGCAGGGGGGCTCCCTGGAGTAAGGGGGGAAGTCATTATCTTCCCCAGTTCTACCTACCATCCTTCTCTGAGTCTTCTCCTTTCTAGTCTTGAACCAAAAATGGTGGGGTATGACTGAATTAAGAGACGTCAGTCTCAAATCCCATTTCAAAAATTCCTGAGGTCAATGCCCTCAAGCATCTGTTCACTGTTGAGTCACACACAGAGGGCTGGAGCGGGCTGGGCTCCACTTTTGGCAAGTGACAGGCTGTATCTTCTTTGTCTTCTTTTCAAGCTGGGGATCCTAGATTTCACTGAGCAAGATGTTGCAAGCCACCAGAGCTATTCCCAAAAGACCCTGATTGCACTGGTCACCTCGGGAGCCCTGCTGGCTGTCTTGGGCATCACTGGCTATTTCCTGATGAATCGCCGCAGCTGGAGCCCCACAGGAGAAAGGCTGGTCAGTTCTGGGGGCCAGGGTAAAGGAAATGAGGAAGATAGTGGGTTTCTGGGGAGTTCAGTGGATGTCATGGAGCAGGAGGAGAAATACTAGAAAAAGCCCTTCTGTGAGCTTACATAAAGATATGCATGTGTGCACACACAGTAATCGGTGGAAGATTCAAAATATTATGTAGCAAACTGGGGAGGGGACAGTAATGGTGCCAGCCCACCTACTCGGTGTGGTAGCAGATGATTCGTGTCATCTATTCATTATGTTTTCTGGGATAGTTCAGCTTGGGGCCACCAGAACAGGCTGTTTAATCAGCCACACTGTATTTGCAACCGTGTTAAATGCCCAGTGGGTGCCCCCTTGCTCAAAAGGAGGTATACGGAAGGAGAATCCCCATTTGCCATTCTGGATGAGGGAGGACAAGGCTGAGGTCTGAATCTTGGCCTCTGGCCTGTCCCCTACCCTGGGGAGGTCATCCCACCCTTCTTGGAACTGCCCGTTTTCCTGCGGGAGCTGGCTGCCGAGCTGCGGTGGCATGGTGTGGTGCCTCTCCTATGTCCTTTCTCCTCTAGGAGCTGGAACCCTGACCACTCTTCAGGAAGAAAGGAGTCTGCACATGCAGCTGCACCCTCCCTCCGATCCTTCCTCCCACCTCCCCCTCCCCCTTCTCCCACCCCTGCCCCCACTTCCTGTTTGGGCCCCTCTCCCATCCAGTGTCTCACAGCCCTGCTTACCAGATAATGCTACTTTATTTATACACTGTCTAGGGCGAAGACCCTTATTACACGGAAAACGGTGGAGGCCAGGGCTATAGCTCAGGACCTGGGACCTCCCCTGAGGCTCAGGGAAAGGCCAGTGTGAACCGAGGGGCTCAGGAAAACGGGACCGGCCAGGCCACCTCCAGAAACGGCCATTCAGCAAGACAACACGTGGTGGCTGATACCGAATTGTGACTCGGCTAGGTGGGGCAAGGCTGGGCAGTGTCCGAGAGAGCACCCCTCTCTGCATCTGACCACGTGCTACCCCCATGCTGGAGGTGACATCTCTTACGCCCAACCCTTCCCCACTGCACACACCTCAGAGGCTGTTCTTGGGGCCCTACACCTTGAGGAGGGGCAGGTAAACTCCTGTCCTTTACACATTCGGCTCCCTGGAGCCAGACTCTGGTCTTCTTTGGGTAAACGTGTGACGGGGGAAAGCCAAGGTCTGGAGAAGCTCCCAGGAACAATCGATGGCCTTGCAGCACTCACACAGGACCCCCTTCCCCTACCCCCTCCTCTCTGCCGCAATACAGGAACCCCCAGGGGAAAGATGAGCTTTTCTAGGCTACAATTTTCTCCCAGGAAGCTTTGATTTTTACCGTTTCTTCCCTGTATTTTCTTTCTCTACTTTGAGGAAACCAAAGTAACCTTTTGCACCTGCTCTCTTGTAATGATATAGCCAGAAAAACGTGTTGCCTTGAACCACTTCCCTCATCTCTCCTCCAAGACACTGTGGACTTGGTCACCAGCTCCTCCCTTGTTCTCTAAGTTCCACTGAGCTCCATGTGCCCCCTCTACCATTTGCAGAGTCCTGCACAGTTTTCTGGCTGGAGCCTAGAACAGGCCTCCCAAGTTTTAGGACAAACAGCTCAGTTCTAGTCTCTCTGGGGCCACACAGAAACTCTTTTTGGGCTCCTTTTTCTCCCTCTGGATCAAAGTAGGCAGGACCATGGGACCAGGTCTTGGAGCTGAGCCTCTCACCTGTACTCTTCCGAAAAATCCTCTTCCTCTGAGGCTGGATCCTAGCCTTATCCTCTGATCTCCATGGCTTCCTCCTCCCTCCTGCCGACTCCTGGGTTGAGCTGTTGCCTCAGTCCCCCAACAGATGCTTTTCTGTCTCTGCCTCCCTCACCCTGAGCCCCTTCCTTGCTCTGCACCCCCATATGGTCATAGCCCAGATCAGCTCCTAACCCTTATCACCAGCTGCCTCTTCTGTGGGTGACCCAGGTCCTTGTTTGCTGTTGATTTCTTTCCAGAGGGGTTGAGCAGGGATCCTGGTTTCAATGACGGTTGGAAATAGAAATTTCCAGAGAAGAGAGTATTGGGTAGATATTTTTTCTGAATACAAAGTGATGTGTTTAAATACTGCAATTAAAGTGATACTGAAACACATCTGTTATGTGACTCTGTCTTAGCTGGGTGTGTCTGCATGCAAGAGTGACACCCTCCATTAGACCTAGCTAGACTGTGCAGTGATGTGGTGGGGAGGACCAGCCAGGGAAGAGGGAGCACCTCAGCAGACACAGGCACCAGCCAGGATGCTAAGGACCTTTAGCCAAGTCTGCCAACTATTCTCCTCCATGGGGAGAGGAAACATCCATTTCCAGTGGTAGAAAGGCAGACCCGAATGTACCAGGGAGCTTCCAAATGGAGGGTGGTATGTTGGGTTCTTAGGAGCTGTACCCTTCATGAACACCCTTCTGAGAAGAGGAGCATGCTGATCACTGCTGCAAAATATGCAAAACAAAGGGAAGGGGCAATGTCCTGTGCACCCTTTATTATCAGGCCACCCCCCTCCCCAGCCCCCCAGGTCAGAGTAGACACAGTGAAGGACTATGTGGGGACTGTTGTTCTAGAGACCTGGCAGCCAACTCAGGGAGGGGGCTGGTTTCCACCCTCAAGATTAAGACAGCAGCCTAATTAAAAAAAAAATCTGTAAGCATGTACCTCCCCCCAGCTTCCAAAACAACCCCCACCCCACCCCTACCAGGCCATAGGAAGTTGGGGAGGGAGTGCTGAGGAGCTCCAGGAAACACTCCCAAGTGTGTCGACAGTGGCAGAGGCAGTTGGGGCCAAACAAAGGTTGATTCTTCCATTCTTATCTCCATAAAGCCAGACCTTTCCCTTCAGCACTCCTCCACCCCCATCTCCTTCTTGCTTTTCTCCAACTCCTCTAATCATAGGTTCTTCCCTAGGACAGAGGGGAGGCGAAATGATGAGGTTCAGAGTCTTCCCTCAAAGGCGATGGCTGCCTTGAGGGTTGGAGCAAAGGATGATGAGCAAAAGACGATGGTAATCAGTAGGGAAGTCCAGCCCACTTGCATCTAGTTGCACATCTTGCCTTGAGAGTAATCCAGTGAGGGTCTGTCCCAGCTAGGACATCAAGTAGGAGGGGTGGGTTCAGGGTTCAGATTCCTAGGAAATATGGGAGGAGAGGAAAAGGCAACTTGGATGCACCTCCAGCTTCAGGCCTAGCAACCTGCAATGCATCTCACCCTGAGTTTGCTGGAATGTGTATGTATGCTTTGGGAGGAAGGGCTGTGTGTGTATTGCGGGGTGGGGTGGGGCAGCTGGTTCCCTCTGACAGCTGGACAGCTTGCCCTGAAGAATTTGCCTGCTTTCTGGAAAAATCCAACTTTCCCACCGTGGGCCTGAGCGTCCTGGTACAGCAATGGCGCCACCTGCTGGCCTTATTGAGGTCCTACTGCTCAGCCTCAGCTCAATCGCCTCCATGTTGGGCTTCTCTCCCTGGCTGCCCCACCCTCTAGTCCAATTTCTCTTGTACACAAAGCTCATATAACTATAGAACGTCACTGTTGAAGAGAACTTTAAAGATACATTTAATTAAACTCCCTTATGGTATAGTTAAAGACAAACTAAGGCTCAGAGAAGGGAGGTGGCTTGCCCAATCACCCAGAATTCCAAAGTCCTGAATCTGTAGTTTTCCCTTCCATCATATCATCCTACTCTTCTGCCGAGTCCTCCGTGTTACTCCAGTTGGATGTCATGAAGCCAGTGTGGCAGTGTGAAGATAGGTTTGGGACTTCACTTCTGGAGCATTTCATCAACATAAGCTATCCTAGGCCTGGCCAGCCAAGCAGGTCCTGGAGGAGCCCCAGGACAAAGATCACAGGAGGCCATGAGGTTCGGCTTCTTCGGCGCCCACAGTGAGCCCAGGAAAATTAGCTGTAGGGTATTACACTGTTGACTATGGAGAGCATATCTGGAATTATCTTCAGCCAGATTTTCATCTGAATGGATAAATGGGAATACCATCTAAGTCCAGATAAATAGATCACTTCCATCTCATCCCTTCTAGGTAGATTAATCCCACACTTCCTCTTCACACAAAACCAGTAATAGGTCATCGATTTTGTGCAACAGGATGCTGCTTCTCTTCCTAAAGCCCCCATCGAAGAGGCTTCCAGCCACCATTCAATCATTCATCAAGTCTTATGATGTGCCAGACACTGCGCGAAATGTGCCAGAACATCTGTTATGTGCCAGACACTGTTCTTGAGACTGGGGATACAGCAAACACTCATGAAGCTTATAATTCTAGCAGAAGAGGACAGTAAACAATGTCATCTCAGTAAGTATATACATGTGTTTTCAGGATTGAGAGCTATGAAAAACATAAAATATATTGAGAATAATGGTTGGTATTTTACATATGGTGGTTACTTTTAGAAAAATAACAGTGGAGAGCACAGCTTCACTTGAATGAAGTGGAGAAGCAGGTTGTATGCCAAGCTGGGAGAGATTATCCCACACAGGGGAAAGGACAAGTGCAAAGCCCTATGATGAAAAGCTGCCAAGTGCAGAAAGCCTCAGATGGCAGGGGGCAAGATGGCCATGAGGTTGTGTCAGTGAGTGGGGGTGGGGAGAGGCAGGAGGTCAGACTACATGGGGCCTTTTTAGTTGTAGATTGGGAAGCCACTGGAGGGTTTTGAGCAGAGAAGTCATATCATCTGCTTTATGTTTTAAAAGGATCATGCTGGCTGCTGAGTAGAGAATAGAGGTTGAGGGATAAGAAAGTAGAAGGAGACCGTAGCAAGAAGAACGATCATGGCTGGGAGCAGGTGATCATATTGGCAGTGATGAGATCAAGCAGAATTCAAAAAGTGGTTTCAAAGTAGAGGTAACAGGACTTGCTCAGTCTATTTATTTCTTCAAATAATAATCATATTTACAATGATAGTAGCTAACAGTTTTTGAGTGCTTACTGTATGAAAATTGAGATATGGTGCCAATATTTAAATAGCATATTTTACTTAACATTCACAGAAACCCTGTGAAGTAGGTTCTATTATCTCAGAAAAAGAAACTGAAACTCAGAGAATAACAAGGGACTGTGTTACGTGCACAGTGGCAGAGGCAAAGATGAATAGGATGTGAGTTTATTTGAACCCCAAATGTTTAAATCTTGGGGATAATACAACACACATTTAAACAAAGAAGCAAGAAAAAAAATGCACAACAGAAAGTGAGAAATAACACGAGGAAAGACTAAATGAAGTGCTTTGTATCTAGATGTGGGCAGGACCCTTTCCAGCTGAGAAGATCTGAGACTGGGTCATGAACAGGTGGTTTCTGAGTGGGTCCTGTAAAAATGAATACGATTTTGATGATAGTAATGAGTAAGGACATTTGAGACTGATAGAAGAGTACATACAATATGTAGTGATGGGGAAAGATAAGGTACTGTCAAAGGACAATGTGTTTTCTGGTATGACAGAGAAGTAGAATGTGTTAAGGGAAGCCGAGTACCAGAAAGATCCGGGTGTCACAGTTTGTGTAGGGTGTTTAAAGCTAAACCACAGAGTTTAATTTTATCCAATAGAAGAGGAGCCACAGAAGAGTTTCCATTTATTCATTAATTTATTCATTTATTCAAAAAATATTTGAGTGCTTATTATAAGCCAGGTACTATGCCAGGCACCTGGGATAAGACATAGTCCCTTCTGTCAAGTCTTTACATTGGGTGGATGTGGGAGGGACAGATGACAGAACAATATGCATTGAGTGTAAGTGCTATGGTATAGGAAGCTCTGAGTGGGAGGGGCATGGAAGCCGTGGAAGACCATGGAAGGCTTCCCAGGAGAAGTGACGTCTGGACTGATCCTTTGGTCAAGCAGGAGTTAAAGAGGAGAAAAGGAGAGATATGGGTGTTCCCGAGAGAGGAAGAAGCCTTGTCCCAGGAGCAAAGTGAGGGTGATTGTTCCAGAAATGTGAGTGATTCTTTTAAGGCTCAAGCAAAGCATGTGATTCTTCTTTATACCTTCTATTTCTTTGCTGAGTGTTTCTGTTCTTTTGTTTCAAGCATGCTGCAATTGCTCATTAAAGCATGTTTATGATGGCTGTCTGTTTTAAAATTCTTGTCAGATGGTTTCAACATCTTTATCATCTCAATGTTGGCATCTGTTAATGGTTTTTTCTCAATCAAATTGAGATTTTCCTGGTTCTTGGTATTACCAGTGATTTTAATTGCATCTGGAAATTTGGGATTTATGTTGAAAGACTGGATCTTATTGAAAGATTCTGTTTAGCACCCCTCCTTTGATACCACACTGGTGGGTCCAGGTTCCCCATTCAGCTGTTGACACCTTCAGGGCAGAGAGGTGGGATGGGGTGAAGGGGGTACCTCATTATTGCTGGCCCAGGTTAGAAGTTCAGGCTTCCCAGTAGATCTCTGCTGATACCACCCTGGTGCCATGTCATTCCTTGAGTCCAAAAGTCCCTCCCAATTCTGCCTTCTTCTCTCTACATATCGGAGTCTCCCTATGTTTGACTTATATATAATGTCCAGGGTTTTTAGAGTTAGTTAACAGGAGGCATAAGAAAAAGTGTGTCCACTCCATCTTGTCTGGAACTGGAAGTTCAAGTCGAATATAAGAGAGAGGAGAGGAAATTACAAGCCATGAGACTGGAGAGTTAGGCAGGTTCTACACCAGCTATTCTCAAAGCCCTCTTACACTCTTAAAAATTTAGAACTTCAAAGAGCTTTTGATTTTGAAAGTTACATCTATCAATTATTACTGTTTCAAAAATTAAAATTGAGAAAATTTTATTTATTAATTTGTTTAAAAATAACAATAATTATTCAATTACATGATAATGTAAGTAATGCTTTTCTTAATGAAAAATAATTATATTTTCCAAAACAAAAACAATTAGGAAAAAGAGTGTCATTGTTTTAGACTTTGGTAAATCTCTCTAATATCTGGCTGAAGAGAAGAATGCTGATTCTTTTTTTTTTTTTTTTTTTTTGAGACGGAGTCTCGCTCTGTCACCCAGGCTGGAGTGTAGTGGTGTGATCTCGGCTCACTGCAAGCTCTGCCTCCCGGGTTCACGCCATTCTCCTGCCTCAGCC